>NC_000005.10:26368426-26671457 GCF_000001405.40 Homo sapiens
ATCACTTACCCTTTCCCCACACTGGGGAACTTTCCCTGGTTTCCAGCTTGCTCTCAGTAGAGCAGGTGATATGGTTTGGCTGTGTCACCAAAAAAATCTCATCTTGAATTTTCCCCACATGTCATGGGGAGGGAGCCAGTGAGAGATAATCATGGGTCTTTTCTGTGCTGTTCTCATAATAGTGAATAAGACTCACAGATGTGATGGTTTTATAAAGGGGGGTTTACCTGCACAAATCTTAAACAATTTGAGATTTCTTGACTCCTTACCACTATCCAACTATGACAGATCTTCTCTTTATTTTGCCCTTTTTGACCTTTCCTGCTTGGTTTGCTTCTATTATAGTTCTTCCTAAAGTGGGAGAGCTTCCTAGTCCATCTACTGCTCCTTCTGTAACCTCTGACACACGTTCTTGAGGCTGCCCACGGCTTATTTCCTTCCAGCCATATTTTTAGGTTTATGAGGACATCTTATGCCATATTTTTAGGTTTATGAGGACATTTTATCCCAGAATATTGTAGATATTTTTTATGGAATTGTTAGTGTTACCCTAGTTCTTTGTTATATTTTCATTGGTCATTTCATATCATACAAAACTATGCCAAAGCTGCCATTTTCTCAGAATGCATTATATTATTTATGCATTCAACGTGTACTTTTTGAGTGCCCATTAGTTGCCACGTACTAAGAATAGGTCATAGAAAGAACAATCAAATATTTTGTGTTTTTTTGCAACTTATATTTAAGAGAAGAGAGAAAAAATAAACAAAATACAATAAATATTGTTATTAAAGATTAATAAGTACTTAAAAGAGAAAAAGAGCTGGGATAAAAAGATCATGAGTGAGCAATGAGACTTGGCTTGAAATTTTAATAAACATAGTCAAGATTTAGTTCATTCTATCTCAGTCTGGGAAAACAATCATCTCTATCTATTTATATAGTAGATAATGGGCAGAATTCACTTGAAGATATTGTAGGATAGCAATTTGCTCATTCATGTGTTTGTTTTCTCCAGGGATTTGTGTATATATACGAATGGTGTTATTAATTTTATGGTTTTATTATATTATTTATTTTTATATATTATTACGGATAATTAGATTGCATAAAGATTAATCTTATGACAATAACTTAAATATTAAGACTTGATTCTTCTTTTGCCTTCTGCAGAAAAGTACAACTATATTATTTTTGTAATAAAGAGTCACTTTAGTTTACTTTTGTGGAGGGTTTGAATTATGCATGCAAAATAATGTTTTAAATTTTAGAACATAATTCATGAAAAGTACATGCTTAATGACCAAAATATGCAACTTGGAAATTCATTATGAGAGAAAATCAGACACAATCAGAAAACTATAGGTTTTCTTTGCGAACAGTAAATAATTTGTTTCTTTTTTTGTTTTGTTTTTAATTTTATGCTGTTACTCAGGAATAAGATACAAATATACAATGAAAATTTTCTGTGCTTTATGTTGAAACATTGCTGATTTTTAATAGTGAAAATGTAGTTTCAGTCAATTAATTACTGAATCTACACATATAAGTGGTAAATATTCTTTATAAAATAAACCAATTATCTGGCACAGTGGCTCACACCTATAATCCTAGCACTTTGGGAGGCCAAGGCAGGAGGACTGCTTGAGCCCAGGAGTTCAAGACCAGCCTGAGCAACATGGCAAAACGTGTCTCTAAAAAACAAACAAACGAAAAAAGCAATTACACAAATTAGGCAGGCATGGTGGCATGCACCTGTGATCCCCATTACTCAGGAGGCTGAAGCAGGAGGATCGCTTAAGCCCAGGAGGTTGAGGATACAGTGAGATGTGATCCCACTCCAGCCTGGGTAACAGAGTGAGAACCTGTCTCAAAAATAAATAAATAAATAAATAAAATGAAAATAAACAGTAAATATTTAAAAATCATATATTAATGAGATTAAACACATTACAATGATTATGCAAATGTTGATAATTGTTAAACAGAAAAATCACCAACTTTTATTCCTATGAACATAATTTCTCTTTTATGAAAAAGTCTGAAAACACCAGTTACCCACTTTCCAGCTTTGCTTGAACAATTCTAGTCAATGAGACACAAAAACAGAACTCTTGACATCAACTTCTGGAGAATATTTTTCTCTTTGATAAATAGAGAGATGTGAGGCGAATTCATGCACAGTCTGACACTTCCCTCAGTTGACCAAAGATGTAATGTGTGGGGAATGTACAGGAACCATGTGTCAAGGTTGAAACCACCATGAGGAAGAAAACAAATAATCTCCAGAGGGCAAAGTGTAGAGACGGAAAGTGGTCCGAGATGGTACCACAGAGTCACGTATTGGAGCCCTGAAACAGCCTACTTCAAACTTCTCATTACCTGAATCAAAAAGTATCTTTATTCCATAAACCATTGATAGTAAGATATTCAGTTTTTGTACCAAAAATATCTTAACTAATACAGAAAAATCATTAGTTTTAAAATATACATTTTTCAATTCTAAAACTTACGATTGAACTATTCCACAATATAGAATAAGATAAGCAACAAATGATATGTCGATATATTATAATTAAATGTCTCTTTGACCATTACTTTATCTAGACATAGGAGAATAATTTAGTTCTATGAAATTATTTAGTAAATATGAAATATGTCATGAAATACTTTCAAGAGCGCAGACATATTTTTATGCAAAATTTTCATTTTTAATTTTACCCCTATTTCAGAAGAATTTGACTTCCAAGTCAACTTCAAAGAATTAAATTTATGTAAAGAAGGGAAAACAAGTCACTTTGGTTCGTGTAATGCTTCTAAGTATATTTTATTATGGACAATATTCATTAAATATTTGGCCATAAAGGAAAGCATGATCCTGCACTGTAATTTAAATAATTGCCTGTGGCATTGCCTAGAATTCTGCTCCAACTCTTACAAGTTGCTGACAGGATGCTTTTAGCCTCTGAATCAAATCATTTCTTGTAAAATAAACGTATCCACTTACCCTATGTCCTTCTCTTTTGCATATTTTCCAAATTTCTGCCATCATGTTTATTTGTAAATAATAGTGTATTTGATTTTTCTCATGAACTCCTCAAAATATCTGTTTTTCTGACATCATGCCTTTCTGCATTAAGTGTATTATGTATTTACTAACACACATACATACTGTGAGTTGAATTTTGAGGGTACAGGGAAGTATATTCCCACCAGTCAAACTTCTTGAATAGACATATCTGCAGAAGGTTTTCTGTGGCTTTTGGAAGTGAAGACAAATTTCAAGATGTGAAAATGACAACATTGGCTCTAGATCCATAGATATGATTGATAAATATTTTAGAGTAGTGAGTAGTATCTTACTATCATCAGTGTGTTTTGTTTTATATTTGAATTCTTTTACCCAAATCATAATTATCTATCTTAGTGGACATCTTTCTATTCTCTCTATGACATTTGGACAGATGGAGTTATGTATTCAGTTATATTATATTATAATATTTGTATTCTTAAAGGTCATATATTTCCACTATGCAAAATTGTGCATAAGGAAAATAAGGCAAGGGAAAAATTTTTGGTAAGTATTTTTGGTGGCACACACAAAATAGACAGTAATCTAATAATAATGATAGCACAGATTTACACATTGCTATGATTTGGATGTGTTCCCCAGAATCTATGCATTGGGAACTTAATCCCCAAAGCAACAGTTTTGGAAGGTGGAGCCTAATGGGAGGTGTTTAGAATTGGATTAATACTATTAAAAAGGGACTTTTGGTAGAAAATTTACTCTCTTGTGCTCTTGCCCTTGCATCTTCCCCCCTGTAATGACACAGGAAGAAGGCCTTCGCAAGATGCCAGCAACCTGCTCATGAACTTCCCAGGCACCAGAAGTGTAAGTCAATAAATTTCTGTTTAATATAAATTATTCAGTCTCAGCCATTCTGTTACAGTAGCATAAAGTGTATTAAGACATAAGTTAATACTAGAGAAGTGGGGCGTTTCTGTATCAAATACGTGAAAATGTAATAGTGGCTTTGGAACCGGATTATGGGTAGAGGCTGGAAGAATTTGAAGGAGCAGAGTAGAAAAAGCCTTCATTGCTGAGAATGGAGGATTAAGAGTAATTTTGTTGAGGACTAATAAGGGGAGAGCTATAAAGAAAGTCTGAAAAGCCTTAGAAATAGCTCAATTGGTCATGAATAAAATATTGGCAGAAATATGAACATTAAAGGGCATTCTGATGAGGGCTCAGGTGGAAAGGAAGATTGAGGTTTTAAAAACTGAAGTAAAGACCACCATAGTTATAAAGCAGCAAAGATAAGACCACTCTTGTTATAAATCAGCAAAGAACGTGGCTGAATTGTGTCCATGCCCTAGGGCTTTATGGATGGCTTTAAGAGTGATGAAGTAGGATATGCGGCAGAGGAAATTTGTAAACAGAAAAAATATTGAGAGACTTGTGGCTTTTGTGGCTTTTGCTTTTTTTTTTTTTTTTTTTTTTTAATGGAGTTTTGCTCTTTTTGTCCAGGCTGGAGTGCAATGGTGCGATCTCAGCCCACTGCAACCTCTGCCTTCTGGGTTCAAGTGATTCTCCTCACAGAGCCTCAGCCTCCGTGGTAGCTGGGATTACAGGTGTGCACCACCAAGCCTGGCTTAATTTTTGTGTTTTTAGTAGAGAAGGCATTTCACCATGTTGGCCAGGCTGGCCTTGAACTCCTGACCTCAAATGATCCCCCCACCTCGGCCTCCCAAACTGCTGGGATTACAGGTGTGAGCCACCTGTGTGGCTTAACTGCATATAGTAAAATCCAAAAACAGAGAAGTGATTTAAAGACAGAATTTATAATCAAAAGGAAGCAGATGAAGAGATTTGAGAAATTCCCAGCCTAGGTGTGTAAAGAATGAAAAGGCACACTTAGTAGAGAAAACCAAAGGTGCGTCCCAGTTACCCTTAGATAAACAGGTTAGTGTGAATAGAAGGAAACCAGGTGCTATTCATCAACACAATGAGCGAATGACCCCAGTGGCATTTCAGAAATCCATTTGAGGTTTCCACTCCCATCACAGGCCCGGAATGCTAGAACACTGGGGGCATACAGGTTTTGAGGAAGAGACCCAGGGCAGCTATAGAACCTATGGGCTTTCTGTCCAGGGCTGCCTCAGGCCTTTGCTCCCTGCATTCTGGTGCTGCACTGCTTGGCCTTCCTGGCTGTGGTTCAAGCATGCCCAGGAACATATGTAGCTGCCACACAGAAGCTACAAGCTTATACATAAATAAAACTCAGTTGTGTCCACATGTTGCTAATTCTCAAGTTTGCAGAATATAGGAGCTGTGGAGGCATGGCTGTCTCCACTTAGATTTCTAAGGATGCTGCAGAGACCTACCACAGGGATTGAGCTACCACAATCCTACTAGGTCAATGTCAGGTGGAGCTATGTGGTCAGGGCTGCTCCAAAGATACCAGTACTCTAGAACCACCACCATGGGACACAACTCTAGGAAAGCTGCAACCACAAGACTCCAATCTAAGAGCTGATGCATGGGTTGAGCTCAGCAAAGTCATAGAGACAGGGCTGCCTGAGGCCTTGAGGCCTAATTCCCACCCCAGTGTGTCTGGAAGGTGGGTCATGGAGTCAATGAAGATTATTGTCAAAATAGATTTGATTGTTGTTTGCCTTGTTGTGTTTTGGGCTTCCTTGGTAACTATGACTTCTTTTTTTTTATTTTTTCTTGACAATTACTTCTTTTTGAAATGGTAATGTCTATCCTTTGCTTGCTCCACAATTGCATTTTGGAAACAAATAACTTATTTTGATATTTCAGGCTCACGTTGGAGGAAACTTTGCCTCAGAATGAATTGCACCTTGAGTCTCACTCATATTAGACTTTAAAATTGGTGCCGGAATGAGTTGAGAATTATGGGGCTTGGAGTATGGAGGAAGTGTATTTTGTGAGAAGGATATAAATTTTGAAAGTTTGCATGAATTAGTTTCATTGTGTTCTCCAGAATTTATGTGTTGCAAACTTAATCCTCAATGCAACAGTGTTGGGCAGTGGCACCAAATGGGAGGTGTTTAGGTCATGAGTAGATTAATGCCATTATGAAAAGGGCTCATTGGAGTGAATTTGCTTTCTTGAACTTTTGCGCTTCTGCCCTCCACCATGTGACAAAGGAGAAACAAACCCCTTCACATATAAGTACCTTTATCTTGGATTTTTCAGCCTTCAGAACTGTGAGACAAAACATTTATGTTCATTATAAATTACCCATTCTTGGGTATTCGGTTATAGCAGCACAAAAGGGGCTAAGACACATATTAAATGGTTTAGAAATGCATAAATAGTACAATATGGCACTCCACCTTGAAAAGGACCTGAAATTTGTTTGTAAGTGGATGTCAGAAGAAATGCAGCTTGTTAGCTTTTATGAAGCAGTGTTGTAAGCATTATCTGAAATGACAGGAAAAGTTATAACATCAGATATGAAAGAACGTGGCTTATAGTACTGAGATAACTGGTAGATCTGTGAGTGTGTGTGCGCGTACATATTTGTGTATTTTTAGAAGGCTTAATTCTGCTGAGTGCAATTTTCTCTGTTCAGCTTGTGATTCTTAAAGATGAAATTACACACAAGCAAAAGTGAAATTTGCCTTATGCTCAAAATGTTACTAATAATCAATTGTGTTGAGGCAAATTCCTATGTTCAATAAAACGTACAACAGAAGAAAAGACTGTATATAGAAAACCCTTCATTTCTCAACATTAAGTAATCTAATAAAACGTGCGTGATTTTTTTATAGAAAGTCTCCATGAAAAGAAGACGCTAAGCAAAAGTTATCTATTTAGGTTAGGGGTTCGAGAATATAAAATAAAAGGAAACAACTCATCTAAATATGCCTGTGTACTCTAATTGTTTCATGTGTAACCTTGATTTCTTGTTTCAGTTTAAAGATATCAAATTTTAAGTTTCCATTTTGCTTCCTGGATATAAATGATGCAAGAAAGAAAAAAATTCTGATTTAAAGATTAGTTTTCCAAGAAAAGAATCTATACCTACAAGTTAAAATAAATAGATATGTGTATGTTTTGGTTAATATAAAATGCTTTAAATATAGTTCTTTTATAATTTTTCTCTTTAAACATTTTGGGAAATACTGATCAAATACTAGTCCTCATCATATTGGTTTAGATGGCTCTGTATTGTTTTGCATAAATAACAAATCTTTTTTTTTTTTTTTTTTTTTTTACTTTTAAGTTCTGGGATACACGTGCAGAACATGCAGGTTTGTTATACAGGTATACGTGTGCCACGGTAGTTGGCTGCACCTATCAACCCGTTATCTAGGTTTTAAGCCCAGCATGCATTAGGTATTTGTCCTAATGCTCTCCGTCCCCTTGTCCCCGAACCCCTGACAATCTTCGGTGTGTGATATTCCCCTCCCTGTGTCCATGTGTTCTCATTGTTCAACTCCCACTTATGAGTGAGAACATGTGATGTTTGGTTTTCTGTTCCTGTGTTAGTTTGCTGAGAATGATGGCTTCCAGCTTCATCCATGTCCCTGCAAAAGATGTGAACTCATTCTCTTTTATGGCTGCATAATATTCCATGGTGAATATGTGCCACATTTTCTCTATCCAGTCTATTATTGTTGTACATTTGGGTTGGTTCCAAGTTTTTGCGATTGTAAATAGTGCTGCAATTATGCTTTTTTTTAGTAGCAAATACCACACAATCTCCATAACATTATCTCAACAAAATTTTATTTCTCTTTTACATACCTTTCCAGGTTAAGTTGGAACACTGTCTTTGGAGACTCTCCCCAAGTCAGAATACCTATATTTTCCAAAATCAGTCAGTATGGAGACCTCTTTCATTTTGTAATGCCCAGCCTCCACAGTCACCGCAGAATGGGGAAAGAATGTGAAATGTGAAAATGTTTTCATGGCTTGAAAGTGCTCTACAACTCTTCCACTCACATCCCATTAGCTAGAATTCAATCAGAAAATTATTCTTGCTGGCCTCACAAAAATAAAAAAAGGCAGATTTACATAATTTTTGACTCAGAAATTTATAAATTATAAAGAAACGAATACATAATTTGAAAGTTTAAATAAAATCTAGATATCATATGTTGGGTAACTATGATGATAAATACAATAAGAATGATAATATTAGCATATTATTCTTACCACTATTATATAATAATATAAGAATTAATAACAATTTATTGATAATGATATTAGCATATATTATGCTAATCTTTATACAATAATGATAATATCAGTATATATGTATTACCACTTAAAATATTACAAACTGTTTCATATAATAATTAATTATTGGAAAAATCCTATGAAGTTGATTACATAATTACTACTTTTTAGATAAAAAATACTATCAGTAAGAATAAATAATGTGTTTGAGTTGCTGAAGCTTAAAATAATTTACTCAATATAAATTATAGCCTTGATGTTTTTATTCTCAATTATCAACACTGATATTTTGACTAGAAATTGTAATTCCTTCTGGGATATCTAATTGTTGCCATAGAGTTACTTAACAATTGTTTAAAATTATTTTTTCCTTTTTTCTTATTGTAAAATACACAGGAAATGCAACAAAATTTATCCTAGCCATACTAAAAGTAGATTTAAACATCTCTAAATGCAAGAAAAGTGAGATGTCAGAAATATATGAATATAACCAATCTAAATACGATTGTAAAAATATATCTAACATATAATAGTTATAGATTATACGTGTGTTTTATATATATTTTGTACATTTGTATATATACTTTAACCCTTTAATTTTTTTTTTCTTTTTTTAGGCAAAGTCCTGCTCTGTCACCCAGGGTGGAGTGCAGTGGCATGATCTCAGCTCCCTGCAACCTCCACCTCCCAGGTCCAAGCGTTTCTCCTGCCTCAGCTTCTGGAGTAGGTGAGATCACAGGTGTGTGCCACCACACCTGGCTAATTTTTGTATTTTTACTAGAGACAGGGTTTCGCCATGATGGCCAGACTGGTCTTGAACTCCTGAGCTCAACCGATCTGCCTGCCCTGGCCTCCCAAAGTGCTGAGATTACCAGCGTGAGCCACCACACCTGACTGTCTTAACTCTTATAAAATAATATATATATACACCTTATTTGCATGTAGTCATGGTATAGATGTTACTATATTTCGCTTTCCCTTTTATAAATTCTTACTCACATTGTACATTCTTACTATAAAATCTTTTTTTATACCCAAACATAAGGAGTTAGTTACCTAGTTTTCTCATAAAAAGTTTTCTATCACCCTTTGATGCTAATTTTATGACTAATAATCTCTTTAACCGTTTTTGAAGAATGTGACAAGAACAAATTACTAAATTCAAAGCATACAAAGATTTTGTCAAGATAATTGTCTTTTTCCCAAGATATTTCTATTTAAGAAGTTACAGAACTTGGGGAATACAAATCCTTTATGACACTGACTACAAATGAATGATTAATTTGGGAATTCATGTTGGTGTTTTGTGAAATTATAGGTCACTTAAATATCCAAAAGTATGTATATACTCAATGGAGCATAGTTATTCAGGAATATTGAAAATTAACGGGTTCTTCAGTTTATCATTTGAAAAAACAACAACATCTAATATAGCTGTTAGTGATTTACTTTACTTTGTGCAAATGTGTGTTTTGTGCAACTAATGTAAAGAGTAAAAAGTTGCTTTAATTATGTAGTGGATGACGATGAGAATTGTTCTGTTTACTCAAAAAAATTTTGTGTTTCATATACAAACAACCTCATCAACAATCTGTTTTCCTGTACCTTTGAGAATTTAGATTTCCTTTCTCAGTATTAAATTCGATTGCTTCATGAATATAAAATGACAATGAACCGTCCTTTCAAAAGGACAACCAAAGGAAACTGTGAGAGTTGGCTTATTCAGATTTAAATTTCAATCTGGGAAAACATGTCTCAACAAGATTATGTTGTTTTTTTTCTCCCAAGCTGAAAATAGATGACCATTCCAGGAAAAAAGTAAATATAATTAAACTTATTTTTTGGACAATTATATGATATAAATATTTTAAATATTCACAATATTAACACAGTCTTCATCTTTTGCAAGCAACCCTCTAATATCACTGTTATTTGACTGAACACAAACGCCTTTGTTAGTAATAACAGTAAGCAGCACAGAAATATGCTATACTAGGAAAAATGATTGCTTAATAATTTCTTAATGCCAAACCTTACACCCTTATTTGCACATGTATTGAATATACTTAAGAGAAACAATGTATATTTAGTACAATACTCAGAACAAAATGTTGTAAATATGTTATTACTTAATATTTGTACAATGGTCCTGCAGGTTATACGTTATTAGCACTGTTTTGAAAATGATAAAATTAAGAAAAAAAAACTACCCTGGAAACACATGTAACAAGTGAACAAGAGAATTTGAGTTTAAATCTAATATTTCAGCATTCATTGCACTATGCCGCATGGTAGTACACCCCAAGTTGTACACCACACAAAAGATTTCCTTAGAAGAATTTATTTGAATCTGAATGACTCTGACAAGACAAATACTCAAAATGACTTTTAAAACTTTTATTTATTAGTTTCTATTCTATCTATATTTTATTAATTTTTACATAATATTCTACGAAACTATTCCTGTTACAGCTATATTTATTCGAGGTAATTCTGGATTAAATGACACACTTTGGCACAATAAATATTTTATAGTAGTTTATTCTACCAAGTTAATAACGGAAAAACCAATTAAGAAAATTTATAAAGTATAGGGTCATATATGTGTTTTGATTATTTTATTCTGTGGTTGCCTTTTCTCATCATAAAACTCACATATTTACTGAGAAAAATTGTAATTTCGACTTAAAATATTGTATGTATAAACAAATCAAAAGTTTTAGTGGAAATTTGTAGTGTTAAGTGAAGCCACAATTTTTTTTTTTTTTTTTTTTTTTTTTTTTTTTTTGAGACGGAGTCTCGCTCTGTCGCCCAGGCTGGAGTGTAGTGGCGCGATCTCGGGTCACTGTAAGCTCTGCCTCCCGGGTTCACGCCATTGTCCTGTCTCAGCCTCCGGAGTAGCTGGAACTACAGGCACCCGCCACCACGCCCGGCTAATTTTTTGTATTTTTAGTAGAGACGGGGTTTCACCGTGTTAGCCAGGATGGTCTCTATCTCCTGACCTCGTGATCCACCCGCCTCAGCCTCCCAAAGTGTTGGGATTACAGGCGTGAGCCAAGGCGCCCCGCCATGAAGCCGCATTTTTAAAGTCAAATAAATATGGCAGGTTACACATAGCATTTCCTTAGGTTTTGCTTTTTATTTACCATATTAATTCCAAAATGATTTTTTATAAACATGCACATAATCGTATTAGTTTTAATATCTTGCTTTCTTGATAAATGTTCATTACTAGAAATATTAGTTTGCTTTATTAAGCAACAAATATCAATTTTAAATATTTTTAATTATAATTATGCTTTATAAATCCTAAATCAGTTTCACAATCCTGATGGTACTTTCTTTTTTTTCCCAGAACGTCTGTGATTTCTTATACTTCCCATGAAATATGTTACTATTACTAAAACTTTGCCTTCATTTTGTTTTTAATTTCACTCATTTATGTGTGTGTATTTGTGTGTCCATACACACACACACATAGATATCTATGTCTTTGCATCTAGACGCTTATATGTGATTAATATAATTTTACATCTTTTTTCTCTTATTTTATCTTATTCCTACACATTCACTTCATTCCCAAAAAGTTATTTCCCAAAAAGTTCATTCCCAAAAATTTATTCACTTCATTCCCAAAAAGTTTCGATATTTCACATTTAACAATGTGAAAATTTCATCCTCACGTAAAGTAGACCTTCAAGGGAAAAAAAATTGAGGGGTGCAAAATAATGAAGAAGGTGAGTAAATGTCAGGAGAATTTGGCATTCACAGGCAGTAGTCAGTTAATTCTATATCAAATATTAAAGAAAGGAGAGATAGTCAATATTACATATTGAAGAAAGAAACGTGTAAAGCCCATATGGAAATAAAATACTACCAATATAATAAAAAGGAACAAAAGTCTCTAGGAATAAAGCAATTTTGTCTAACAAGAGGTATATAAAGCATTCTCAAGGACTCTTAAAGAAACAGTGAGTAGAATATACCTCAGTGCCTCTCAAAACTATTTTTACCAACCAATATTTTAAAGAAAAAAGATAAGTCAGTCTCTACTGCAGCAATGTTTTTAAAGGGTACAAAGAAAATGTGTGTTTCTTTACAATGTTCACTCTCTTCTCTTCCTATAATAACAGTATTTTAATTTAGCAATATTAATTACCCTTAACTTTTCCTTGAAATGCTTTTGTACATCTGTCTTAATAAGCTGGGAGGAGGAATAAAACAGGCTAAAAACTTCTTGCTTCAATATTTTTATTTATTTTAACATAATTTTTTTTCTTTCTTTCTTTCTTTTTTTTTTTTTTTTTTTTTTTGAGATGGAGTCTTGCTCTGTCATCCAGGCAGGAGTGCAGAAGCATGAGCTCGGCTCACTGCAAACACTGCCTGCTGGGTTCAAGCGATTCTCCTGCCTCAGCCTCCTGAGTAGCCAGGATTACAAGCATGCACCACCATGCTCAGCTAACTTTTGCATTTTCAGTAGAGACAGGGTTTCACCATGATGGTCAGGCTGGTCTCGAACTCCTGACCTCAAGTGATCTACCCGCCTAGGCCTCCCAAAGCGCTGGGATTACAGTCTTGAGCCACTGCACAGGGCCTTGTTTCATTATTTAAATACTACCTGTTTAAATCCTGGTATTTACATGTCCCTCAAGTGTATAGCAGTAGTAGTTAATGTAGAAATATTAGTGAGTGTGAAAATTTTCAAGATTAAAATGGAGTCGCTTTTGTTGAAACACTGAAAAATTGAGCTGAGAAAAGCCCTTGTAGGGAGGGTGCTCATGTAGGACATCTGATAACAAGAACTATCACAAAAGACTGCAGAAACAACTTGCCCAAGGGCCATTGCAACTTTACACAACCCCCCACACACAAATCCTTCTAAGAGGACATCTGCCAAGCAACTGCCAGTTCAGTCTTGACCTGGTGCCACCCTTGTTATTGATTCTTATAGCCAAGAATAAGTATCTAAAACCTATTAGGCAATCCTCTGAAAAAGTTGTTATGTTTTTCCTTTAAAAACATTTGTCTTCATTTATCTCCCATAATAGGCACATAGTTTACTACAGTATGCAAATTCTCATTACAATGCCCATTACCAAATAAATATCATTTTTTTAGAGAGTCTTCCTTTCCGTTTATTATTTGGGTTAACCTGAGAAACACAAATTTTTCTTGAAGTGATACCAACCCATAAAAATGATAAACACCCGAGGTGACGAATACCCCAAATTACCCTGACTTGTTCATCACATATTCTATTCATGTCACAAACACTCACATACACACCATAAATATATAAATTGTTATATCAATAAATAATAAAGAAAGCCAGGTGCTAGTCAATACAACGGAACCACAACCTTGCAGGAATTTGGAGATCTTCAAGGTTGCCGTGTCCATCACAGGTCCAGAGTGCTAGAGCCTTGAGGGCAGAACACTACCAAGGGAGGGCCCAGGGTGTCCATGCAACCTCGGGGCTTGCTGTCCAGGGCAGTCTCAAGTCTCTGCTTCCCACATTATGGTGCAATACTCCTGGGTTGCCCCAGTTATGGCTAAAGCAGGTGGAGGTGTGGATGGGGCCATGGCTCCAGAGTATGCAAGCATTGAGGTTTGCTTTCATCCACATGTTGTTAACTCTGTAGGCGTGCAGATTGCAAGAGAGCTGTGGAGGCATGACTGCCTCCAACTATATTTTAAAGGATTCCCTGTAGAACAACAGGGCCCAGGCACAGAACTGCTGCCGGTGTGGGGCCCCCTTAGAGAGCCTTTGCTCAGGCAATGTTTAGTAGTGCTGCGGGTGCAAGGTCACCTGCAAAAACCCAATCCTGTAGAGTCACCAGTGTTCAAGGCCAGCCTGGGAGAGCCACAGGCATCTGACTCCAACTTCCAAGAGCTGCAGATTGGGCTGTGCCAAGCAAAATCATGAGGGCATGGTCCCCTGGAGCCTTGAGTGTTCAACCCTACTCCAGTGTGTCTGGAAGGTGAGACATAGAATAAAGAAGATTATTCTCAAGGTTTAAGATGTAATGCTGTTTGCCCTGTTGGATTTTGGACTTACTTGAAGCCTGTTACTTCTTTCTTCTTGCCTATTTCTTTTACAATAGAAATGTCTATCCTATGGCTGTCCTACCATTGCATTCTGGAAGCACATAACTTGTTTGATTTCACAGGCTAACACCCAGAAGGGAATTTGCCTCATGATGAATTGTGCCTTAAATTTCACCCATGTCTGATTTAGACAATATTTAAATAAGACATTTGACTTAGACTTTCAAGTTGACCCCAGAATAAATTGAGACTTTTGGTGGCTATTGGATTGGAATGAATGTGTTTTCTATGTAAGAAAGATGTAATTTTTTGAGGAGGGAGAGGGCCAGAAAGCTTTGGTTTGAATGATGCTGTTTCCTGCAAAATTCACATTGAAAGCTAATCACTGAGGCAACAGTATCAAGAGGTTTGGTCTTTAGGAGGACCTTGAGACATGACAGTTATGTTTTTATGAATGGGATTAGATTATAAAAGGATTTGATTGAGGAAGTTTGCCCCTTTTTACCCCTTCCTCCCTTATGCCACATGAGGACACGTGAGGAAACCCTCCTCTAGAGTTTGTAGAAACAAGGCACCATCTTGGAAGCAGAGAGACTGGGCTTTCACCACATCTTAATCTTGGAGTTCCCAGCTTCATAAATGTAAGAAATAAAATTCTGTACTTTATAAATTACCCAGTCTCAGGTATTTTTTTATAGTAACTAAGATAATGGGCAATGGGAATAAAGTGTGATTTAAACAAAGTTCATCATCACCTTCAAGAGCTCTATATTAGTATCTTAAGATTTAAGACTTAGGTCTTAATTATTTGAGCAAGGAACTTAATTTTAACACATATTTACTTAGGAGTATTAAACATACTAAAATTTCATACATAAATGGTATTCTTCATGAAAATTTACTTTGTTTTTAAGAAAAATACATAAAGAAAATTGTTAACAAATATTTTTCTTATTCAAGAGATAAGATATTTTAAATATTTTGCCCCTATGTATTAGCTGTAAAGTATATTCCAGGTATATTTTGGACTTGGTATAAATTCTGGCTTCTTCACGTATAAACCGGAAAAGTTTGACTGGAATTTTCTAGCTTTCGCAGGTGCAAGTGTGTTTAATAGTTAGATCTTACAACGAATCTATTGAGCCCTAGAGCTATGACTTCAAATTAAAGAACAGCTGCTTGGCAACATTTTCTTCCATGAACAAGAATCAAAATATAGGCACTATAGAGAATTATGAATAACGAAAAATGTCTTTTAAAATTAAAAGTTTACCTTAGCAATATTGTACCGTCCTGGATGTTAGTTAAATTCTGTACTATTTAATAACATTTTGTGTTTTATTGTGTGGTTTATCCACAAAGGAGTTACCTTTATTCTCTTATTTCTTCATGACTCCTCTTCATAATCGTCCTCAGTCTTCTGTCTTCACTTTTCAGTCTCTAGCGTCGTCTAAATCTAATGTGATCTTCTGCTAAAAACAAATGCATGTTAATTCACACTTCTTCATTTTAGTTAATTAACACTATCACGTTAGTAGCAATATTAATTTACACTTGTCAGATAGTCTTAAATCTCCCATTATAAATATATATTATATATCAATCTTAATACAATGAATAAATATATTTTAATACTGTATATAGTATTTTTATACATACTCTATATACAATACTATGTAGATATATATCTATATATCTATAGTATTATATGTAGTATTACATGATGTATAATTTTATATAATACAATACTATGTAGATATATATTATATGTAGTTATATATTATGATTATGTTTATAAAAATTATATATAATATAGTTACATAGAATATATTTATATAAGACATTATATAATACATAATTATACACTAGAATAGCTATACGTATAATAATTATGCATCAATATAGTATTATATAATTATATAATTATAATTATTATTATAATAATATAATTATAATAATAATTATAATTATAATTATATTATTATAATATAATAATTATTATATTATATTAATATAATATTATTATAATTATAATATATTAATATAATTATAATTATATTAATATAATTATAATAATAATTATATTATAATAATATAATTATAATAATTATTATAATTATAATGATATAATTATAATAATTATTATAATTATATAATTATATAACTATGTAATACATAATTATGTGATACTACATATCTATATAATATACAATACTATATATCCACTATATATAGTAAATATATCTCTATACATAAGAGAACCTGTATTTTAGCAGAGAATTCTTTATCTGAATCATTCTCCTTCCAGATAAATTGAACCAAAAAATGTAAGGTAAATGCAAACTATAATTTCATAACAAATTATCAATATTCAAATACTGTCATTTAAGTTGAATGAAAATATCAAACCTTCATGTGATGAGATGACTTTGTGTATTTTCAACCTTTCTTATTGATCTGTCTCTATGCCTAAGAATTAGAAACAATCAATTCAGCCAAATGGTAGTCAAAATAACAGAGCTACATTATATATGTTTTAAGGACCTGTCTTTTAACTGGCTTTATACTCTATTACATTACTTTCTCTTCCCTCTTGATTACCTCAATTAAATGCCATTTATTTTTTGGTATTGCATTTATTTTGTGTTTTTTTTAAGGTCAACTATAATTCTTTGGGAAATATACAATGCTTCAACATATCCATTCATAATAAATCCACTTAGATTAATATGAATTGTGATTATCGACCAACATTTCTATTCCTCTTTTATTCCCCACCTTGCCTCACTAAATTCTATATATCTAAACATGGAAAGTAATTTAAGTTTTAATAATTGTCTTCCATTATATGTCCTAATAAATCATAGAGAGCAAAGGACCAGCTTTGGTTGCAAAGATTTGTGATTGTAGATCAGCAGAGCAGCAGATTGGTTATGCATTTTGAATTTGTTTTTGTATTTAATAATTATTAATTTGGGTTAGAGAAAATGTCATGCTTTTTCCTCTTATCTCTGAGCAATGTAATTTCCTCCATACCATAGGATCTTAGAAATACAATCAAACTTAAAATTCCATAAAAGGGTTTCCAAAACTTAGGGTCACTTCGTCTTCTTGTGAGAAAGATATAATTTAGGGAGTCATCATGAGAAGTTCTGAGTCATTATTCTCAGAATGGATTTGAACTCTTATTTTTAATAAGGGACTTAGGAGACTTGGTGAAAATTGTCCCACTTCTTGATGTACATTTTAAAACCACTTATACCAAAATGGTTGACTTATTTTTGTATTGATTAAAGAGCTTTTTTAGGTATTAAGTGAAATATTTTACATAAACCATTTCAAGTATTTTCCATAATGCAATAGTCACATAATAAATACCTATTATAATTAATTTTGTTATGGTAATTAATATTGTTGGTGCTTTACAAGTTCAGTGTAGATAAAACAGAGACCCAAGTGAGGGATGAGGTCAAAGTACTTTCTTACTGTAAAATTACTTCCTCTTCCCTCTTGATTACCTTAATTACTGATAAATTCTCTGTGGATAATTTATGGGAAAATTGTAACTATAAATTGTCTTCACTGAATTAAGCAGATTCACCTTATCACAAAAAACTGACTTAAAAAATGTGGAGGTTCTCCACATGAAGATTTGTAATTTCCGGAAAAGGGTATAATTTTTTTCCCAAACTGACAATCTATATACCTTATACATGTGCATAGACATATACATATATAATGTATGTATATATACATAGAGAAAAGGTTTCTTAAATTATAATGGTAAAAACAAGATAATTGTACATTTATTGAGAAGAAAAATTTAAGTAAAGAAAAAGGCAAAAGATTTTCAAAATATAAATAATGAGCAAGTAAATAAAGGTAATCAGAAATTTAAACATATTTGCAAGTATTTTCATCTACTGAGATATAAAAGCAGTTTTACCATTTGCACGTTCAATTCTAGCTGTTGTTAAAGAAGGCATTTCAAAGACTGGTGGTGAAAGTATAAATTTCCATGTTTTTGCATAACATATTGCACAATAATACAATAGCTTGTAGGATGCTAATGTTACTTGATCAAGTCATTTCTCTCTTTGATGTTCATCTCATGAAAATAATGTAACATGTAGACAGATGTGCACACTGTGTATATTTAATGCTTTATAACCATGAGAGGTGAAAACAAGCTAATATTAACTAACAAGAATATCCTGAGTGAATGAATTACAGTATTTCCATAAAATATAAAATGCTGTGCAATGTTTAAGATCAAACTGAAGATGTTTTAATTTGATGTACCTACCACTGATTTATCAATTACTATCAGAAAATTGAAATGTATAAAAGTAGTGGACTTCAGAGACAAACATGATAAAGTTCATTTTCTCATCCTATGTACTAGTGAATAAGATAGAAAATTAGTCAATAATTAAATGAAGTGGGAATGCAGCTTTAATAGAAAAATGAATGTGAATTGTAAGAACATATAGAATGATTCCATATCCTGAAAAACATTATGAAGACTTCATGTATTCATGATCATCTACTGAGAGTCTGTAATGGAAAAACCATACTACACAGCAAAGGTCCCCAACCTGTGGGCCATGCGCCATGGACCAGTTCCTCTCCATGGCCTGTTAAAAACCTGGCCGCACAACAGAGGGTGAGCAGTGGGCGAGCCCGCATTACCCCCTGAGTTCTGCCTCTTGTCAGATCAACAGTGGCATTAGATTCCCATAGGAGCGTGAACTTTATTGTGAACTGTAAAAGCGAGGAATCTAGGGAAACAAAAACATATATGGAGACTACTTTATGTACAGCATAATATAACAGATACGATTTTCCAAAAGCACACACTCAAAAACATAATTTCAAATTTGGTTAATGACATAAAGAAGAAAACAGGTGCTTAAGATCTCTTAAGGTCTTTATAAAGAGGTGGAGATGTGTGGCTTTCAAAAGTTCAGGGACTTTCTAAATGGAGGAAAGCAAAAATAACAATATAGAATGGTGGTTCCTAAACTGCTGTCACCAGATCAGTGGTACCAACAGTTTTAGAAATGCAGTTCCTGGGCCCCTCTCCAGAACAAATGCATCAGAAAGTTTGGGGTGAGTTTCAGCGATTTTGTAATTGGGAAGCCATATTGGTGATTCCAATGCTGGCCAAAGTGAGAAGATTGGGATTGATGCAGGCCCTCCAATGAAGTGCAGACAAGTGAATAGAGGAATCTAAAATGAGTACATTCCTTGTAATTCCTGTAATCATGGCTCGGGTTTTCCAGATGGAATACAGTAAATGTGGCCAAAGGAGAAAGGTTGCATTTGTTCCTGTGAAGTTATTCAAAGTGCTTAGGAAAAGTGTTCAGGAACAATTAGTCAGAGATCTTTTGCTTTAGTATCCTGACAGATCATAAATGAGAGAGAGAGAGATGCAAAAAAAAAAAAAAAAAGTAGTTTACTGACTCAGAGTAGAAGACCCAAGAGCTAGCTAGCTAGATTCCAGGACAACTCCAAACAGTGTTGGTTTCTCTTGTTTCTCTTTTCTTTTGTGTCTTGGTTTCAATCCTTAGTAGGCTTCTTCCAATCTGAGAAAATCAGTCACTGCTTCTCTGTGCTTTAAGTCCTTAAAATTTATCAGAACTATATCAGTTCCCCCAAATGTTTCTGATTTGTGCCACTCGTGACGTGTGCTTCACCCTATCTATCCGCTGCTCTGGAGACTAGAATTTGAGAAGATGGATCTGAGTTGTAGAGCTGTTTCTGAATTGGGTGTGGGTGACTACGTGACTATCTTTCCATAATGACATGTTCTGGGAGAAAGAATAGCCATGTGTATTAGTCCATCCTTGCACTGCTATAAAGAAATACCTGGAACTGGGTAATATATGAAGTAAAGAGGTTTAATTGGCTCATGCTTCCACAGACTATACAGAAAACATGGCTAGTGAGGCCTCAGGAAACTTACAATCATGGCAGAAGGTGAGGGGAAGCAGGCATGTCTTATATGGCCAGAGCAGGAGGAAGAGAGTGAAGGGGGAGGTGCTACACACGTTTAAACAATCAGGTTTCGTGAGAACTCACTGTCATGGGAAGAGCAAGGGGGAAATCCAAAACCCTGATCTAATCACCTTCCATCAGGCCCCTCCTCCAACACTGAGGATTACAATTTGACATGAGATTTGGGCAGCCACACAAACTTAAACGATACCACCATGAAAAAGATAATGAGCACAAAATAATGTTACAGATGGCTACGTCATAAGAATTGAGCACATATACTTGCCCCTTTGGGGCAGTTTTGAGGTAGACTAGCTAGTGACGCAAAATAGACTGAGTCCTAATTCTTTCTTGGCACACAGATTTGACTGGGCTTATTCCCAAAGGCTTAAGCAATGAGTTGGAAGCAGTCTGACTCAGCAGCTTTTATTAACTTCCCTAGGTGGTAGGGCAGGATTCTGAAGTACTGCAGATAATTTAAGTAAGATAGATTGAATAGTGTCCATTCAAATTAGTGACAAAGAAAAAAATTATCATTTGTGACCATGACAACAGAAGCTACAAAGGATTGACAGGAAGGGAGCCAGATGGCAGTGCATTGAGAAGTGTGAATGAGAAATGAAGGAGCAATGGCTGGGGAAGAAAACACTTTTAAAAAAAGCTACATGGTAAAGCAAAGTTAATGAAAATAGCAGTTTTCCCAACTTAGAAGAAATATGATAACAGTCATTATCACTATGTTGTAGAATTACAAGTAACTATAATTTGTTCATATTTTTCATACATTCTAAATTATCCACATTGAATCTGTGTCACTTTATAGTCAGAAAAAATAAACATACTTTAAAAATAAGTGTTTGAACTAAAACCCCAAAATGCTATAAGGCCAACAATGCATCAAACTCACAATCCAATTCCTGGTACACATCCAAATAAGGTGAACATCTGGATCTCCTGAAGCAAATGGCGAGTTGCGTGCTTGGCCCTGTGGCTGCAAAATAGATCCAGTAAATTCACAGAGGAATTCAGGTTTATACCCTGGAGCTGTTATGGCAAACTGTACATCTAATTGACAGCTTTGCTGCTGAAAACATCAATAATCTTTCATTGTGAGCTCCAGATCCTGAGCAAGACTCTGAGGGCTCATTTCAGTAAGTTACAGCTTTGTAGGTCACCTTTGCAGCAGATTTATATAAGAGTCTTACAGTGGAGAGGAGAAAGTGGAAGGGTGTTTGAGGATATGCTCTTACTCTCTGAAAACCTGGGTTAAAGCTCTGCCAAAAAAAAAAAATGAAAAAAACAAAACTTTTTAAAAGGCATTTTCCCTTTGTTCCTGTTAAAATTTACTAGCATATAGCCTATAGAGCCATTGATTGTTCATTTTCACGTCACATGCAATTATGATGCAATGACAAATAAAAATGTATACAAAAAATTATTTACATAAAATATCTGGATGGATATTAAAATTGCTTTCTTTGTTCTGATGAAAGTGATTTGAAGATATTTACCTTTATTTCCAGAGACTGAGTCATGTTTGAGAAACTTAAGTTCTCTACTAAATCTAGACCTGCACAATTCAGTATGGTAGCCACCATTTCCATGTGACTATTTATTTAAATTTAATTAAACTAAAATGAAATAAAATAGAAAATTAAGTTGCTTAATCACGTTAACCACATTCTAAGCACCCAAAAGCTAGATAACGGTAGTGGCTGCCATCTTGGACTGTATGAAAGTACATTTCCACTATCACAGACAGTCCTTTTGCAAACCACAGGCATAACTCTAGACCTTCTTGGAAGTTAAAATGTGCTACTATTCCAGGAGCTGTGTATAATTGATCACTTTTTGTATTAAAAGATTGTTATAGTAGACACTGCCAGTTTTTTCCTCAAATCAATATCCATTTATTAACTTATTTTCACTTAACGACACTCCATTTGTCATCCTCCCTTAATGGTAAAAATACTGAGGGACTACGTCTCAGCAAACTGAAAATGTACATAAGTACTATTCAGTGGCTTGCAGGAAAATTTCCAAAAGAGAAACCTGACACTTTGTCTTTGCTATTAAATCGAGGAAATGAACTCGGTTTTGGATTACTAAGATAAAGGTCATGGCAAGGAATGATGAAATAAAGATAGAAAAGAAGCCAGATAATTAAAATTCTTGGGGAGCCATGCTGCCATATCAATCCAGGATACAGCAACCGTAACAGAAATATGTAAATATCATGTTCAAGTCACTGTGTTTTAGGTCTTAATAACTCAGAGCCCAATGAATTCACAAAGAATTTGTATTGTGAACACTGTTGCCATGATGGTAATCATCTCTGAAACATTGGAGTCCCTGAGCCTCCCATAGACAAATGCTTGTAAGGGACGAACAATAGGTAACAGCTCTTCACACTGAGAGGGTTGTAGAGATACTGCTAGTTATTGACTCAAATTTATTCTTCTGTTGGTTTAAGTGCAAAATGATTTGGTTGGTAAGAAAATTAGTGACACTACTTTTATAAACCCCTATTTCCTTACTGCTTCATCTAATATGTATGTACTTGTGCTTAATGATATACAAGAAAAAATATACAACATTTTTAAAAACCTTTCATTTCTCCTTATAAAAAGGGGAAGATTCAGCTTTTGCATGTCTTTCATCTTTTTCTCTCCTCTCTTTTTCTGGCTAGCACTTGGAAATGGTACACAGAGGAGGAGCAATTCCCTTAACATTAGGTAGATGAAAATCGTGTATTAAGAACAGAAGGTAAGTGTTGTTCTTTGAACAGCTGGATGTCTTCAGCCAATGAACACAGAGAGAAAAATCCATTTTTATTTGCTTCACTATAGAAGTACCTGTTATATGCAAATGAAATGAAATTATAAATTATAAAAGAGCTTTTATAGAAAAGGCCCTAGAGATGTACAGGAATTTGGGCCTGTAACACAAAGCCATTTAACTCTGGACTTTTCGGATCATGTGTGGACAAGGCAAAGGACTCATGCAGAAGTAGGAGTGGAATATGACAAGGCCATCACCATATCTCTGGTTTCAACTCACTCACTAGAAGCTGCAGTTTTACTACTGCCCCTCCATATGGTTGCAGTCAAAGACTCACCCAATATACCCAATGTTTTCTACCTGAGTCTGAGTTCATTGATTTCTATGCTTCAAAGACTTCCATTAATCTCCTTGGTCAGTTCATGATTTGACATCTTGCCTGCTTCTGCGTTTTCAGCACTCCTGGATGATTTCACCAGAGACTGAATGAATCAGAATTTCGTTTTGTTTCAAATAATATCTCCTTTACCAACAAATTTCGTTAAGGGACATAGCTGGAACAGGCTTGCAATAATTTATTTGTTAGTTGAAGTTAAATTTCTTCTGCTAAAGGAAAACAGGGACTTGCTATTGGGCATACTAGATGAGGTAGGAAAGAATGGAAGTGTGAAAACACCTAATTTTTTTTTAATGTTATTGAAAGAAAACTAAAGGCATATATGAAATGCATACATAATTGTGTTTAAAATAATTTATAAAACTATCCTACAAACTTACTTGACTTTTGTCATTTAAAAGGTCTTATATTCTACTAGTACTGAATATATTACTTAAATTTGGTCTCATTTCCATAGATTCAAACAATTACTCAAATATTATATCCCAATTTTAAAAAACTTACTTACAGATGCCAAAATTACCAAAACAAATTAATTCTAATCTCACTTCCCAAAGGCTACCACGTATACCAGATTTTTCTTCTGTTATCAGGCTACCAGCTATTTCAACAAGGTTTATCAAAGAAAGTAATAATTCTGATAAGTTCATGAAAATTTGACTTAGAGGAATAATACTGAGTTATGAAAAACATAGCTATAACCTAAAGTATTCAATTTCAAATTATTTAATATATGGACAACAACATTCATTATTCAAGATATTGCCATGGCTGCTCCCTTTAAAATAATTGGTTCTGGGATATTGCTGCAGACTATGAAGTAACTGATATCAAACTAATCTTTGCTAAGAGCGCTTCTGTTAGTCTGTTTGCATTGTTATAAAGAGATACCTGAGGCCAGGTTATTTGTTTTTAAAAAGAGGTTTATTTTGGCTTATAGTTTGTAAGCTGTATGAGAAGCAGAGAGCCAGCATCTGCTTCTAGTGAGGGCCTCAGCAAGCTTCTAACCATGTCAGAAGGTAAAGGGGGAGGAGGCATGTCACATGGTGAGAGAGGGAACAGGAGGGAGGGAGCAAAGAGCAAGGCAGGAGATGACAGGATCTTCTAAACAACCAGCTCTCCTGTGAACTCATAGAGTGAGAGCTCACTCATTACCAAGAACACAGCACCATGCCGTTCATGAAGGATCTGCCGCCATTACACACACTCCTCCCACCAGGCCCTACCTCCATCATTGGAGATTACCTTTCAACATGAGATTTGGTGGGGATAAACGTCTAAACCATGTTTACTTATAAAAGGTAAATAAAATAAAACAGCAGTTATTTGCAGATATCAGAGAACAGTTAAAAAGCCAGAAGAACAGAGACAAAATTTTAGGGAAAAAAAAAAAAAAAAGGCTTACTTGAACCCTGTATTTAAAACAATATATTATTTCCAGGGAATTTGCTGATTTACATTACAAGGCTAAACTAAGTCAGTTTCGAACTTATTGCAACCTCCTTGGACTAGGCAAACAAAATTGAAAGAAGAGGGATATCAAAGAACTAGAACATGAAGGCAACGAGAAAACTACAGTGTAGTAAGACTAATACTCTGCTTGCAGTTTTCCCTTGATAAAATAGTTTACACCTAAACTGCACAGGCACATGGAGAAGTAGAAAAAGCAAGAAAATGGATACTGCCTAAAGGATACAATTATAAGCAGGGTATTTAAAAGTTTTATATGCCTTGGGGGATAAAAATGTGAGTTCAGTTATTCCTAAGAAGAGGTCTGAAAGAAATAACCTAGACATCTAAATACTTTTGTAAAGTTTTGAGGCTTCAACTACATCACTCTCCACTCATTTTCATTAGCTCGCTATAAATTGTTTGTGGGTCAGATAAAAAACAAATTATTATGAGTGGAAGATAACATCATGTAGAGGCCCTGCACTTATTCATTCACAATTTTTGCATTCAATCAAAATTTACTACACATCATATGAAACAGTATCAATGACCATATATCTCAGGAGAAAACAGATGTCAGAATCTCATTTATAGATTATCTGTATAGTTATGTTATTACTGAAGTAATGTTTAAAGTGAGTACAAATAATATTTTCAAAAACATAAATACAAAAATGGATAACTAAACCAGAGGAATGAAATCTATTTTTAAATCAATAGGAGGTAATGGAACTAAAATATTTTAATGCGATATAGAATTTAAAGTATAGGTTTAACTGCAAGTAAGACCTTAGGGAAAAAAAAGAAGCCATAAATGAGAAACTATACAAGTAGAAAATAGAAAGATGAAAACAAACAGAGTACAGGAAGAAGAGGGATGCAGAACAGAGATGAAGAGATATAGTCAACATAGCAAACTGGTGTAATGTGTGATAACTGAATTTCCAGAAGGAGAGGAGTGAGAAGGAGCAGAAACACCTTTTGAAAGGATAATTTAAAAATAAAAACAATTTTTATATACATCACCCTACATTTTCCAGATTTTCTGCAAAATCCAAGGAGAATAAATATAAAGAAACCACACCTTGACATATTTAAGTTTCCTAGGGCTGCTGTAAGAAATTACCACAAATGCAGTGGCTTAAAATAACAGAAACTTATTGTCTCACATTTCTGGGTACCAAAAGTCTGAAATCAATGCACCAGCAGGGCCTCCCTCCAGAGGCTGTGGAGAAGAATTCCTTCCTTGCCTCATGGAGCTTCTGGTGGCTGCCCAGCATTCTGTGGCAGTCCTTGGCTTGTGGCCACATCATTCCAATCTCTGCCTCGGTCTTCACGTTGCCTTCTCCTCTATATGTCTGTATCAGAACAACTCTCACCTCTCATAAGAATACATGTGGTTGCATTTAGGGCCCACCTGGATCATGCAGGAGAAATGCTTCCTCTCAAGATCCTCAAATTATTGCCTCACTTGTCGTGTAAGATAATATTTACAGGTTCTGAAGACTAGCAAGTGAATATATATTTTCAGAGATGGAGGTATTTTTAGCCTACCGCACACGCAGTAATACTACTACTGAAAGACTTAAGCAAAGAGAGCATCTTAATATTAACCAGAGGAAGCAAGGTGCATTACCATCACAGGAGCAGTAATTAGACCAATGCCCAACGTTTCAGCAGAAACGGTGTATGATAATAAAATGAAGTTTTTAATATACTTGAAAAATAAATAACAAACCAGAATTTTATGATAAAAATATTATCTCAATGAACAGCAAGTAAAGATATGTTTAGACAACTAAAAACTAAGATAATTAACCATAGAAATAACTCTAAAAGAAATATTACAGAACATTTCTTTAGACAAAAGAAAAAATGAAGTACATGAAATTACTGAATGATAGGAGGAAATGAAAAGCAAGGAGAGAAAAAAATATGTATATGCATTTAAATAACAATGAACTATGTAAAATAAAAATAACGTGCTGATGGTTTTAAAATATATTAAAATACAGGACAACAATAGCGTTACTTATGGGATGTTGATAATTAGGTTCAGGGGTTTATGGTACTTGGATTTCTAGGATGGAAGGTCCAAATATTGTATGAGAAGTGATAAAATTAATTTAAGACACAGTACAATAAATCAAAGATTTGTGTTGTAATCTTTGATAATGACCCAAAGAATAATAAAGAAATGTGTAATAACAAGATAATAGAGGAGAAAATGTAATAAACCATCTCAGTTAATTCAAGATCATTATGAAAGGAAAGACATTGAACATATTTCAGAAAGGGCAAAATGGAATGAATATTTAAGGGGAAAAAAAGTGCCACTGGTCTTAGTTAAAAGAAAATAGATCTCTATGAAACAAATGCAAAGAGGCGTTTACCCTTCTGTCTTTTTATTTCTCAGCAGGAAACAGTCAGAAAAAGCATCTCAAATGCCAAGTAATCTATATATTTTAAAGCCCTTTTAAAAATGACCAAACAGAATGGTTAAAATGGACAGGTACCTCGAAAACGGGATCCAAGTGTGATGTAGAAAAATGAATCATAGAGCTACTCCCCAGAAGCAGCACTGATACATGATCAATAATCTTTTCCTACCCCTAGTTTGGACAGACCTAGCCACGCTTGACCAGTGGACATAAGTATCTGCTTAAGCCTCTACATATATTGATTACTATGAGTTTTATAGTCTCCTTTTTTATATAAAAGTGCTGCTTTCAGCTCACCTTTTCCCTCTTCACCATAGTATGCTGGATGTGTGGGGCAGATACATTTTCTTTTAGGGCACAGTTTTCTGAAACAAAAATAATCAAAATCAGATCTGAGATAGTAAGATCCTTAGCATTCAGTAAGATCTTATCACTGGATGAGAATTTTGTTGTTTGCGGAAGGGGAGGAGTATAATTTGCAAGTGGGAGTATGTAAATTATTGTGATCAACAAAATGGGCTACAATAGCTCACTGAAACAAATTCCAAATAAAATATGGAGAAGGTTAAAAATATACTATGGGAAGTTACTTCTCTGTATTTTTGGAAAAGTATTTTTCATGTAAAGTTGAGAAAAAAGCATTAAAAATTACTATAAAACATTTTATTTTTTACCTAAACCAATACCTACAAAGTAATTCTTGATGCAAGAAGCATCACTAGAAATTAAATGAGATATTTCAAAATGATAAAAGGGGAATTTTCATATGCAAATATCATAATGTTAGTGTTCTCTACCAGCACAGCATCAAAATATATAAAGCAAAGTAATGGTACTAGATAAAGAAGCAGGCATCAGTAATTATAAAAGAAAATGCTAACAAACTGTTATGTCATTGACAAAACAGAAGAAGAAACATCAGCAACCATATAGACTATTTAACACCAAAAGCAATGTCAACAAAAGCCAAAATTGACAAATGGTATCTTATTAAACTAAAGAGCTTCTGCACAGCAAAAGAAACTACCATCAGAGTAAACAGGCAACCTACAGAATGGGAGAAAATTTTTGCAACCTACTCATCTGACAAAGGGCTAATATCCAGAATCTACAATGAACTCAAACAAATTTACAAGAAAAAAGCAAACAATCCCATCAAAAAGTGGACGAAGGATATGAACAGACACTTCTCAAAAGAAGACATTTATGTGCCAAAAAACACAGGAAAAAATGCTCATCATCACTGGCCATTAGAAAAATGCAAATCAAAACCAAAATGCGATACCATCTCACACCAGTTAGAATGGTGATCATTAAAAAGTCAGGAAACAACAGGTGCTGGAGAAGATGTGGAGAAATAGGAACACTTTTACACTGTTGGTGGGACTATAAACTAGTTCAACCATTGTGGAAGTCAGTGTGGAGATTCCTCAGGGATCTAGAACTAGAAATACCATTTGACCCAGCCATCCCATTACTGGGTATATACCCAAAGGATTATAAATCATGCTGCTATAAAGACACATGCACACGTATGTTTATTGTGGCACTATTCACAATAGCAAAGACTTGGAACCAACCCAAATGTCCAACAATGATAGACTGGATTAAGAAAATGTGGCACATATACACCATGGATTACTATGCAGCCATAAAAAATGATGAGTTCATGTCCTTTGTAGAGACATAGATGAAGCTGGAAACCATCATTCTCAGCAAACTATCATAGGGACAAAAAAACAAACACCACATGTTCTCACTCATAGGTAGGAACTGAACAATGAGAACACATGGACACAGGAAGGGGAACATCACACCCCGGGGACTGTTGTGGGGTGGGGGGAGGGGGGAGGGATAGCATTAGGAGATATACCTAATGCTAAATGACGAGTTAATGGGTGCAGCACACCAACATGGCACATGTATACATATGTAACAAAACTGCATGTTGTGCACATGCACCCTAAAACTTAAAGTATAATAATAATAAAATTAAAAAAAAAAAGACTCAGCAATTCCACTTCTAGGTACACACATATCTGCATATACAGATCTTATCATGGTTATTGTCCATGTGTTCAAAGAGACATGTCAAGAATGTTCATTGTATCATTGTTTGTAATAAAAATACATAAGAGAATTGATAAATCACAGTATATTAAATAATGGGAAGTAGTTAAAATTAATGGAATATATCGATATGTATCAATTAATATGTCTATATCTCAGCCACTAATATTGAATGAAAAGATAAAAGCAAATTTTAGAACTATACAATATGTTATTTATATAAACAATAAAAATTTATAAAACACACACACACACACACAAAAAGAAACACAATTAACTTAATTGACCTATAGACCAGTTATCCAATAAATTGCAAAGTACCTATAATTTTTCATGTGCACCAGAATCATTGACCAGTAAAGACTGTATCCTGGACCCTGAAACAAACCCAAATAAATTTTCAAAGATCGAAATCACACCCACCATGTACATTCCATAACCCCAGAAAATTAAGCTAAAAGTCATTAATGAAATGGATAGGTAGAAAACATTATATTAGTAAGGGCTCTCTAGAGGAACAGAACTAACACAATTATATATATATTATTCTATTTATATATTATATACATATTACATAATTTATATATTATTCTATATATTGTAAAATATATTTATATATTATGTATTATAAAATATATATATTGTATATTTTATTATATATTTATATATTATATATATATAATAAACCTTCTCAGTTAATTCAAGATCATTATGAAAGGAAAGACATTGAACATATCTCAGAAAGGACAAAATGGAAAAAATATAAATATATAAACATTAATATTTATATATTTACTAATTTATATATATATTTATATATAAATATATATTACCCTATATAGATATATAAAAAGAGGAGTTTATTAAAGAGTATTAACTCACACAATTACAAGGTCCCACAATAGGCCTGCAAGCTGAGGAGCAAGGATGCCAGTCTGAGTCCCAAAGCTGAAGAACTTGGAGTCTGATGTTTGAGGGCAGAGAGCATGAAGCACAGGAGAAAGTTGTAGGCTGGAAGGCTAAACCAGTATAGTCTTTTCACATTTTTCTGCCTGCTTTATATCCTGGCCATGCTGGTAGCTGTTTAGATGGTGCCCACTGAGATTAAGGGTGGGTCTGCTATTTCCAGCCCACTGACTCAAATGTTAACTTCCTTTGGCAACACCCTCACAGACACACGCAGAATCAATAATCGGCATCCTTTAATCCAACCAACTGGACACTAGGTATTAACCATCACAAGTCCACCCCCTGTCAACTTGAAACCATACACATCTCGTGAGATTATACAAAATCTTCAAATAAAGACAATTATAAGGCCATCATTTATGCCTAACATAATACAACTAACCTTCCTACAAACAGAAATGCACCAGTCCCCAACCCAAATGCTATTACATAAAGTTAGCAATATTTAAATGTTGATATGAACTCAGTAAGTCCTATGTCAAATGACAAAGAAAAAAGGAAATAAAATGAAGAGATTTTCTTAGTGCAGGTGTATTCATGCACAAACATGTTTCTAACAAAAGAAGGAGGAAATGCTTGTGACAATTACAGTCCCCGTTTCTGCAACTGGTCACTTGGTTACAGCTGGTATTGGTTACTACCTTCTTCTACTACCTATTATGTATTCCCATTGCCTTCAGCAAGCACCTAAACAGGTCATATTGTTTGTTTCCTGGTGGAGTGACCCAAACCTTCATTCCTGAAGGGTCTGGACCATTTGTAGTCCTGCCTGAATTGGGCTGTTGTAATACCCCATTGACCTTAATCACAGAACATGGTAACACTAAGTGACACCCTAATGAATCTTCTGTATTCCATGCATACTCTTTCTTACCTCAGTTGTGGAGTAGTAGACTGATTTCATCTTGATAGTCCTGGTCAATCACCCCAGCCAACACTGCAACTCCCTTCTTAGCCTGTTAACTTAAAGGTAGGAGGAGCCCCAGGTGTCCAAGTGGCCATCTTAACCTCCAGTTTAATGGAATCAGTTTTGTGTCTCCTGGCGGCAGCTTCCTCCCCCTGGAACTAAGACCTCTAGGCCAGCAGAGAGTAATGTCATGGGAACAAGAAACAAACATTTTGCTAGTGGATCACACTGCCTTCACTTTAAGGGGTAATGGTAGTGGTGCCACTTCCACTTCCACCCTTAGATTCCTGGACCCATGAATCCTGGCCATGGGAGAAACAATACCGTATATTGGAAGGTGATTCAGAGCATACACAAACTTCTGGGGAAATTTGCCTCAGCCCTGCAAAGTATTGTCATCTGGTAGGCATTGTAATTGTCACTTCAGAAGGCCATTCCACCATTATATCAATCCAGCTGCTTCATGATGTTGGGGAACATGGTAAGACCAATGAATCCCATGAGCATGAGCCCACTGCCACAATTCTGTAGCCACAAATTGAGTGCCTTGGTCAGAGGCAAGGCTGTGTGCAAGATCATAATGGTGGATAAGGCATTCCATGAGTCCACAGATGATAGTTTAGTAGAAGCACTGCATGCAGGACAGGCAAACCTATATCCAGTGTAAGTGTGCATTCCAAGAAGGACAAACCTCTGCTCTTTCCCTAATAGAAGAGGTCCAATAGAGTCAACCTGCCACCAGGTGGCTGGCTGATCACCCCGAGGAATGATGCCATATTGAGGGCTCAGTGTTGGTCTCTGCTGCTGGCAAACTGCGCAATCGGCAGTGGTACAGCCAGGTCAGAATTGGTGAGTGGAAGTCCATGTTGCGATCCCATGTGTAACATCCAACCCTGTCACCATGGCCACTTTGTTCATGGGCCCATTGAGCAATAACAGGGATGGCTGGGGAAAGAGGCTGAGTGGTGTTCACAGAATGTGTCATCCTATCAGCTTGATTATTAAACTCCTCCTCTGCTGAGGTCACCCATTGGTGAGCACTCACATGGGATACAAATATCTTCAGTTTTTTACCACTCAGGGAGGTCCATACACATACCTCTTCTCCAAATTTCTTTGTCACCAATTTTCCAATCATGCTTCTTCCAAGTTCCTAACCATCCAGCCAAACCATTGGCTACAGCCCATGAATCAGTATATAATCTCACATCTGGCAGTTTCTCCTTCCATGCAAAGTGCACAACCAGGTGCACTGCTTGAAGTTCTGCTGACTGGGAGGATTTTCCTTCATTGCTGTCCTTCAGGGATGTCCTATAAAGGGGTTGTAGTGCTGCAGCTGTCCACTTACCGGTGGTGCCTGAGTATCATGCAGAACCATCTGTGAACCAGGCCCTAGTCTTGTCTTCCTCTGTCAACTGATTATAGGGAACTCCCCAAGAGGCCATCAGTGCAGGCTGGGCAAGAGAAGGCAGGGTAGCAGGAATGGAGACCATGAGCATACTCCCTCATGTAACTTACTTGTGCTTTCAGGACCTGCCCAAGCCAGATCATATATATACCACTTCCATTTGATGATGGAATGCCCCTGTGCACAGCCCACTTATGGCTAGATGGGTCAGGAAGCACCCAGTCCATGATAAGCAGTTCAGGTCACATGGTGACTTAATGACCCATAGTCAAACATTCAGTTTCCACCAAAGCCCAGTAACAGGCCAAGAGTTGTCTCTCAAAAGGAGAGTAGTTATCTGCAGATGATGGCAGAAATTTGCTCAAAATCCTAGAGGCCTCTGCTGTAATTCACCTATGGGGGCTTGACAAAGGCTCCAAAGAGCATCCCTATCTGCCACTGACACCTCAAGCACCATTGGATCTGCTGGTTCATATGGCCCAAATGCCAGAGCAGCTTAGACAGAAGCTTGTACCTGTTGCAGAGCCTTCTCCTGTCCTGGACCCCACTCAAAACTGGCATCTTTTCAGGTCACTCGATAAATGGGCTGAGTATCACACCCAAAAGAGGAATGTTTCCTTCAAAATCTAAATAGGCCCACTAGGTTTGTGCCTCTTTCTTAGTTGTAGGAAGGGTGAAATGCAGCAACTTACCCTTCACCTTAGAAGGAATATTCCAATAGGCCCCACACCACTGGACCCCTAGAAATTTTACTGAGGTAGAAGGTCCCTGAATTTTAGTTGGATTTATTTCCCATCCTCTAGCACACAAATGTTTCACCAATAAGTTCAGTGTGTTTGCTACTTCTTGCTCACTGGATCCAATCAGCATAATGTCATTAATAAAATGGACCAGTGTGAAATCTTGTGGGAGCGAAAAGTGATCAAGGTCTCTCTGAATAAGATTATGACACAAATCCGGAGAGTCGATATACCCCTGAGGTAGGACAGTAAAGGTATATTGTTGGCCTTGCCAGCTAAGGCAAATTGCTTCTGGTGGGCCTTATAGACAAGAATGGAGAAAAAGTCATTTTCCAAGTCAATGACTGCAAACCAGGTATGAGGAGATGTGTTAATTTGCTCAAGCAATAAAATCACGTCTCATACATCAGCTGCAATTGGAGTCACCACTTGGTTAAGCTTACAATAATCCGCTGTCATTTTCCAAGATCCATCTGTCTTCTGCACAGCCCAAATGGGAGAGGTGAATGGGGATATTGCGGTGGGAATCACCACGCCTGCGTTTTTCAAGTCCTTGATGGTGGCACAAATCTTTGCAATCCCTCCAGGGTTGTGATATTGTTTTTTATTTACTATTTTTCTAGTTAGCAGCAGCTCCAGTGGCTTCCATTTGGCCTTTCCCACCATAATAGCCCTCACCCATCAGTCAGGAAGCCAATATGGGGGTTCTGCAAGCTGCAAAATGTGTCTATGCCAATTATGCATTGTGGCACTGGGGGAATGACCACAGGATGCGTCTGGGGATCCACTGGACCCACTGTAAGTCAAACCTGAGCTAAAATTTCATTAATTATCTGACCTCCATAAGTGCGTACTTTAACTGGAGGACCACACTGACGTTTTGGATGCCCTGGAATCAACATCAGCTCAGAGCCAGGGTTCAGTATTCCCTGAAATGTCTGATCATTTCCCTTTCCCCAGTGCACAGTTACCCCGGTAATAGGTCGGAGGTCTCCGTGGGGAAGGATGGGAGAAAGATTCACTGCATAAATTATTGGTAGTGTACTGTGGGTCCTTTCTCAAGGGAACCTGGCCTCCCCTTAATTTAAGGGGTTCTGGGTCTGTAAACTGGCTCAAGGCTGGAAATTGTTTGAGAGAACACTATTATCTATTTTTATAATTCAAATTAGTCTTTTGTCCATTTGACCTAGAAATTTTCTGCTTGTATAAATTAAGTAGCAGTGCAGTAGGCTTCCTATGAATTTCACTTCTAGGAACACCATGATTAATTAGCCAATGCCAGAGCTCAACATGAGTCAGACTATTCTGATAGCTGCTTTGCCTCTGCTGTACCTTACGGTAGCTACACATACCTTGTCTTTGACAGTTGAGTGCCACCACTTGGCCCCTGCCACCTTGCGATCCAATTATTCTCACTGTATTTAAATTTTGTAGTTAGGTGACTGTGGTTCTTACTGCTTTATCTGACATAGAAGAGCAATTACAGGGCTCTTCAAAGATGCAGGTGCTGCCCTCACAAACCTATTTCACAAAGCACTGATCAAAGGTATATCTTCTGGACTCTTCCAGCTGGGAAGAGTAGGTCTAAAGTGACTAATCCACTCCACCATCCCAATCTCCCTAAGCCTTTGGATCCCTTCCTCTACATTAAACCAAGGGAGATCAGGCATCTCCAGCTCATTCAAAGTGGTACATCTTTTAATCCATATTTCAGGTAACCAAGCAGATAGACTATTATCACCTTTTTCAAGTTCGTGAGCTGCAAGATTAAATGCAGAATCCCTACATAGGGGGCCCAAATTAATAAATTTAGCTGATTCAACTCTATGATTCTTCCACCCTTACCCCACACCCTTAATATCCATTCCCGTGCCTGTTCTCCAGATTTCTGCTTATATAAATTAGAAAACTCAAGCAGTTCCTTTTGAGTGTAGCACACCTTCTCATGGGTCACACTCCGAAACTCACTTCTATGGGCCCACGGGGACTCTGGTCTACTTTAGTTCTAGAAGCAAATAGGGTAGCTCCTTAGGAGAATCAACAGTATCTTGTCTGGCAACTGCCTCAGCGAAGGCCATCACTGTTGCCTCAGCAGTGCAGGGTTTATACCCTCAGACAAAGGTGGAAAAGCTGATAACAGCATGGGTCAGGAGGGGATGTTGCCACTACTGGGGATGGAGAAGCTGTTTCTTCTGGCAAAATAGATTCATCATAGTTTACAAGCTCAGTATACCCAGCTTCATCAGGGTCCTCCCACACATCCACTTTCGAAGTTGCAGAGTCCCATACTTTTTCAATCAATGGCTTTACTTTAACAAAAGACAACTGGTGAGGCTGTGCATGCACCTTTTGCTGCAGGTCAGCTGCTCCCATAATAGGAGCTAGTGTCTGTTTTTCCACAATTTCAGCTCTTTCTCTACAGGAGATAAGACTCTCACTCAGGGCAATCTTAGCAGAGTTGAGGCTCAGTATCTGCTTCTGAAGCTGGGAGTTAGAATCTCTGAGCTCATTATTTTCTTTTATCACTTTGTCCAGTGAACTTAGGAGCAATCAACTGACTTTATTACGGGTCTTCGTTCTCCACATATGGTCAAAGGTATTATGTATAGAGTCACTAAACTCCTTGCCTCTCATGAGCAGTGCAACAAGAGTGTCAAATGCATTTATTTTGCATAACTCTCTAAACAATTCATGCCAAGGACTATCGGTGTTCTCCATACTATTATAAGTAGTGTCCTTAGCATTTTGGGGTCTAATCATATTAAGCAGCAACTCCAGAAAACTCAAAAACCAATGAAATAACTCCACCCTTAATATTGTTTCCTCTAGAACCACTCCTGGTACCAAAATCTCTATTAGTCAGTGTTCTCTAGAGGGACAGAGCTAATTGGATAGATATACACATAAAGGAGCATTTATTAAGTAGTATTAACTCACATGATCCCAAAGTCCCTCAATAGTCTGTCTGCAAGCTGAAGAGCAAGGAAGCCAGTCTGAGTCCCAAAGCCAAAGAACTTGGAGTCCAATGTTCGAGGGCAGGAAGCATCCAGCCGGGGAGAAAGATGCAGGATGGGAGGCTAAGCCAGTCTAAGCTTTTCAAGTTTTTCTGCCTGATTTATATCCTGGCCACTCTGGCAGCTGATTAGATGGTGCCCACCCAGAATAAGGTCAGGTCTATCTTTCCCAGCCCACTTACTCAAATATTAAACTCCTTTGACAACACCCTCACAGACACACCCAAGATCAATACTTTGCATCCTTCAATACAATCAAGTTGATAGTATTAAACATCACAACCTCAAACTGTTTATTAGTGAAATAGCATACTACTGTGAAACTCATGTTTCACAGGGAGACAAATGAATTGGATATTAAGAAACAATTAAATTAAATTGAGATTAAAATTCAATAACATTGTATTAAAATACAGTATGTCAGTGCTTATTATAACTAAGACATTCTTAAGACAAACATCATAGCCTTAAATATATACATATATTACAAAAATTATATACATTTTCCAAAGTTAATTACCAATACCTAATGAAAGATCCAGGAAGCCCAGTGAACACTAAGCAGAAGAAGTCAATAAATCTATACAAACACATATTTTATTTAAATTACGAAGAACCAAATGCAAAGATACAATTTGAAAGAAGAGAGAAAACAATGACCAAAAACTTACCTACAAAGTAGTAAGAATGAGAATTACATTGAACTTCTCTTAATAAACTATTCAAATAAGATGAGAATGCAGTGTTTTCAGTAGAATAGCTGTGGAACATTTATGGTTATGGTTGCAGGAGAAGGATGGTCATATCTGTTTCTCTTATTACACGTTTCTTCTAGTTCATATTCAAGGGTTACAGGCTCTAGGTAAATTCTTATTGGATCAGCCACTAACATCTTCTGAATTCTAAATTACTATCTGAAGGTATGCTAAATTCTTTATCCATAAAATTTTCTATAAAACTAGATTTTTTGGAAAATAGCATTAAAGGCAACAAAATGAAAAAAAAGATAATGGTGGAAAAATATCTCAGGATGAAAAGCATCTTCCCATATAATTATAGGCAAACCCCATCTTTTCACAACAATACTAGCCTTCTACAGCTTCACATTCAAGAGAAATAACTGAGTGATAGTACATCTGATGGGCTCCTGTCTTTGATGCTATGAAAACAATTTAAAAAATCCTCCAAATATATTAATAATAAATAACACCATTTCAAATATTCCAACTGATTTGGATTAATGCTTATGAAGCATGATTTTAGATGTCTGCTTAGTAATTCTTGTATGCAGCCTATATATTTCTCTGGCATTTATCTAACCCATCACTATGGAACATTGTGATATTTAGTCAGCTCTCTTGATACATGGCCTATTTGATCTGGATCCTCAAGTATCCTGCCCAGATAGAATTTAGATGGTGTTTTTAATCACCATCTAGTACTGACATTTTATTACGCCATTCCAGTGAGCTCTTCCTTCTTCTTTTCCATGAGTGATATATGAGGTTTTCTTATGGCAGAGAATGAAAAGATTCTTTATAAATTTCATCTTCAGTAAGAGACTTCTCTCTTAATACATATTTCATACGCTATAGAAGGCAATCTACCTTTTTCTTGGAGCACCTTATCAGAATTGAAAATTACATTGGCCATCTCCTGTTTGATGATGTCATAATCCAAAAATTATATATACATACAAGGAATGGTAGACTGCCAAACATTTCATTTCTCTCCTCAAACTGTGCCTGCATGTTAATGTGACATAGCTTTTAAGAAAGCTATTAATAACACAAAATAACAGACAGACAAAGAAAACTTGCATCATAAAAAAAACAAAAAACCTTCAATTCTGGTGTCCTATGATATTTACATGGAAAAATATGTTTATGTTTTGCATGTTAAATTTATTTGGTATGAAGAATCACTAATTTTAACCCACACATAACTATTTGCTTAGTATTATAATTAGCTGCTCCATTCACCAACTTTTGCTTTTAAACATGCTTCATAGTTATTTTCAATAAGGCGTATGTTCTTGGATTAATTTTCTTTTCCTAAGAGAAAATACATTTTTAGAATCAAGCCTTTGTTCTTCATATGTCTCTGAGTTAAATACATAGGTTTTTATCTATTAGTGTTTAAATTAAAGTATCTTGAAATGTACCAAGATATGTTCAAAAGAATTCATGAAGGTCATCAATTGTTGAATTGAATTTTAAAATTTTAATAATATGTGGGCATTCATTTATATAATTACTGATAATCTTAAGTGAAAGGCAAAATATCAAATATAAATGTGCTGGTTGAATCAGTTTAGTACCAACAACAGACTTAATATTTCACCTCAATTCAATAAATACTCCTTGGGCTCCTTCTGACTTTAAATCTACATGATAATAGTTGTATGTAAGAGGTAATAACTCCTACCAAAATGATTACACCCAGGGCTTTCTCTTCAAGATATTGGTGACAAAAGGATTCAACCCCAAACTCATCTTTCAATGAAAGCTGATTTTTTTTAAATTAAAACACATGATTTTCTAACTTAACTTTTGTAAAGTATATATTCCAACTTTGTGCCATTTTTAATTCAATTGATTGTTTCTCAATTATTTATGGGAGCTGATTTCTATGTTATCATTACTAATCTTTTTCAAACACAATAGTACATATCTCTTTCATTATTGTAACTTGCCCTTTGATTCTCCTAATTGTGAAATTTTGATGCTTATTCTTAATGTTACTGAAGTTCAATTTATTAATATTATCCTTCAAAGTCATTCCTTTTGTAATTTTAACTATATCAAGTTCAAAAAAGATATTCTAATCATATGATCAATACTGAATTGATTAATTAGTAGTTTTTTCATATAGCAATGTAAAACTCATAATTTATTTTATTTATATAAAGCTTTTCAATTCATCCTTCACTATTTATTTTTGGAAAGGACACTTCTCCCCCATTGTAATTTACAGGAATGTTTTTATAACTTTGATGACTATACATGTATTTATCTATATCTGGACTAACTTCCCAGGTCCTTTGGTCAATTTTTTTTTATATTTACATCATCATCACCTTGTTTTAATTATTGATACTTAATGATAATTTTCAATATATGGTCCTATACATCATCCAACATTACTTTTCTTTTCCCAAGAATGTTTTTGCTATGACCTTAGTGGTTCTATAGTCACTTTAGGTCAATATGTTATTTTCCACCCATATTTAAAATGAGCCTACTAAATCCTAGCAAAAAGCCTTTTGGAATATTTCTGGGAATTTAATTGAACTCATACGTTATTTCATGGGAATGAAATATGCGTCCAGCTCACTTATTGATGAAAATCATCTCTTCACATCTAATCCTAGCTTTATATAGCATCATATTCTAAGGCAATCACTGAGTGGTGGCATATCTGATTGGGTGCTTTCTTTGAGGCAAACATGCCAAAAATTAAGTAAATGTAAATAAAGCCTACAAACACATTAATGATTAATTAATAATGAATTTAAGTAATAATAAAGAATTCAAAGCATTTCCACTTATTTAAAATAATGCTTTTGTAGCACTGATATTTTTACAGTATTGACACTTTCAGACCATGACGATAATATACTCCTACATTTTTAATTAGTTTATATCATTTTTTGGAGGATAGCCTATATTTAGTAAAATGTATAACATGAAATAATATTATGTATATATGTTAATAATTTGCTACCTACTAATCCTTACCAAAAAAATTTTCCAGCATCCCATTAGGTTTCCTGGCACACATTATTAGTCTATAGCTCCTGGCCCAGTATAACCACTCTTCTGACTTCCACAAGTATCAATTTGTTATGACCCTTTGTGAAAATAATTAAATAGAATCATCAAACATGTACTATTTTATTTGTGGCCCCCATCACTCAAAATAACATTTTTGAATTTCATTCATGGTGTCATGTGAACACATATACATATACATATGCATATACATATAAAGTATTTTTATTTAATATTTATTTGTGTAGCTTATCAAAATTTATTTATCCATTGGTATGTTAGTGGGAATTTTGGTTGTTTTCCATTTTTGAATTATATGAACTAAGTTTAAGTGTGGGCAAAGTTGAAACACCACTTCATTTAGATGACTAAATTCTTTATTTAATCAATAATTTTTGAAAAGTTAATCTTCTATAGGATCTCTTCCTTCTGGCATGATGATGTATTTCTCAGCCTATTTCACTTTACTGTAGCCTTTTAACTCAGATAAATTTAAATAAATATATACCATGCCCAGTTTTCTCCTTGCACTTCTGGTTTTCCCAAATGAAATATTGTAATTTTATAGCAAAGAAGTTATATAACTTATTTGCAAATACAGAAGTGGGGGAAATTATAATGATTAATGGGTGTCTATGAATTGATACATGGAACTAATCCTGCTATACTATCTTCCACCCTCCAGGGTTGAGAGAAGAAACACTTACGAGAATATCGTACATAAAAATCTCTCTACCACAGTCTTTGTATGTTCGGTATGGTTACATGTTCACATCTCTGACTGCAATCAATATATTGATAATTATCACTTTATCAAAGACCATATTCAAGCATGTGCTTGATTATTCTTTCTTCCATATGACTACTGTTTGATGTGCTCTCAATTGAAACATCCCACACATAGTAAATATCCTTAATGTTATTAAACTATGAGGGATTTGGCGTTGAAATACTATTGTTGCATATTTTGTTAAATTTTGTGTCACTTTTTGATGTTGTTGATATGGCTTGGCTTTGCGGTCCCACCCAAATCTCATCCTGAGTTGTAGTTTCCATAATCTCCATGTATTGTGGGAGGGACACACTGGGAAGTAATTGAATCATGGGGGCAGTTAACCCCATGCTGGTCTCGTCATAGTGAGTTCTCATGTAATCTGGTGGTTTTATAAGGGGCTTTCCCCCTTTGGCTTGGTACTTCTCTCTCCTGCCACCATGTGAATAAGGACATGTTTGCTTCCCCTTGTGCCATAATTGTAAGTTTCCTGAGGCCTTTCCAACCATTAGAACTGCGACTGGTTAAACCTCTTTTCTTTATAAGCTACCAAGTCTTAAGTATTTCTTCACAGCAGTGTGAGAATGGATTAATACAATAAATTGGTACCAAGAGTGGGGTGCTGCAGTAAGGATACTCAAAAATGTGGAGGTGACTTTGGAACTGGGTAACAGGCAGAGGTTGGGACAGTTTGGAGGACTCAGAAGAAGATAGGAAAATGTGGGAAAATTTGGAACTTCTTAGAGACTTGTTGAATGGCTTTGACTAAAATGCTATGGACAAGGAAGTCCAGGCAGAGGTGGTCTCAAATGGAGATGAGGAACTTATTTGGAAATGGAATAAAGGTGATTCTTGTTATGTTTTGGCAAACAGACTGCTGGCGTTTTGCCCCTGCCCTAGAGATCTTTGGAACTTTGAAATTTAGAGAGATGATTTAGGTTATCTGGTGGAAGAAATTTCTAAGCAGCAAATTGTGTGAGAGGAAGCAGAGCATAAACATTTGGAAAATTTGCAGCCTGATGATGTGAGATAAAATAAAAACCCATTTTCTGGGGAGAAATTATAGCCAGCAACAGAAATTTGCATAAGCTATGATAAGTTGAATGTCAGTTGTCAAGTCAATGGGCAAAATGTCTTGAGGGCATGTCAGAGACCGTCGTGACAACTCCTCCAACCAAAGGCCTGGAGCCTAGGAAGAAAAAATGGTTTCCTGGGCTAGGCCCAGGGCCCCCTGCTCTGTGTGTCCTTGGGACATGGTGCCCTATGTTCAGCTGCTTCTGCTCTAGACATGTCTAAAAGGAGCCAAGGTACAGCTTGGTACACTGCTTTTCAGTGTGCAAGCCCCAAGCCTTGGCTGCTTCCATGTGGTGTTGACCCTGTGGGTGAACATAAGTCAAGAATTGGGGTTTGGGAACCTCTGCCTAGATTTTAGGGAGTGCATGGAAATGCCTGGATGTCCAGGCAGAAGTTTGCTGCAGGGGTGGAACCCTCGTGGAGAATATTTGCTAGGGAGCGCAGAAGGGAAATATGGAGTTGGCACTCCCACACAGAGTCCCTACCAGGGTACTGCCTAGTGGAGCTGTGAGAAGACGGCCACCATTCTGCAGACCCCAGAATGCTAGATCCACTGACAGCTTGCACCATGCACCTGGAAAAGCCATAGGCACTCAATGCCAGCTTGTTAAAGCAGTTGGAAGAGGGGCTGCACCCTACTAAGCCACAGAGTTGGAGCTGCCCAAGGCCGTGGGAGCCCACTTTTAGCATCAGCATGCCCTGGATGTGAGACATGGAGTCAAAAGAGATTATTTTAAAACTTTAAGGTTTAATGACTGCTCTATTGGATTTTGGACTTGTGTAGGCCCTGTGGTCCCATTGTTTTGGCAAATTTCTCCCATTTGGAACAAGTGTATTTACCCAATGTCTGTACCCCCATTGTATCTAGGAAGTAACTAACTTGCTTTTGATTTTACAGGCTCATAGGTGGCTTGCCTTGTCTCAGATGAGACTTTGAACTTGGACTTTTGGGTTAATGCTGGAATGAGCTAAGACTTTAAGGGACTGTTGAAAAGGCATGATTGTCTTTTGAAATGTGAGAAAGAAGAGATTTGGGAGGGTCTAGGGTTGGAAAGATATGCTTTGGCTCTGTGTTCCCACCCAAATCTTATCTTGAATTGTAGTTCCCATAATCTCCATATGTCATTGAGAGACCTGAAGGGAGGTAATTGAATCATGGGGGCAGTTACTCCCATGCTCTTTTCTTGACAGTGAGTGAGTCGTGAGATCTGATGGTTTTATATGAGGCTTTTCCCATTTTGCTTGGCATGTCTCTCTCCTGCTGCCATATGAAGAAAAACATATTTGCTTCTCCTTCTGCCATGATCGTAAATTTCCTGAGGCCTCTCAAGCCATGTAGAACTGTGAGCCAAATAAACCTCTTTCCTTTATAAATTTCCCAGTCTCGGATATTTCTTCATCACAGTATGAAAACAGACTAATACAACTAAACTAAATAAAGAAGTCAAATATCATTCTCTCCTTTTCATTTTCTCTAAGATATTTGACATTATTGCAATTGTCTGTATGGATAATTAGTACACATTTACCTTGAAAGCATAGTGCCTTTCTGAGATGACACTTAAATGTAGGTATACATATATACATAATTATAATTACAATATGATAAATTATATTTGTTTAAAATGTACACTTTGTAAAATTTGGCATATGTCTATATCTGTAGAACGATCACAACAATAAGGATACCAAATATATCCATTACCATCACAAGTACCTTGGTGGCCCTTTGTAATAATCCCTCCCACCTTCTCCTTCCTAGCAAACTAATTTCTACAACTGACGTTCTCTCTCTCACTATAGATTAGATTGCATTGTCTCAAATTTATACAAATTGATTTTTTTTTTGCTAGGAGTATGTATTCTGAGAATTTACAATTTTTTTTCATAGCTCATTACTGAGTAGAAGTAAAATGCACGGATATACAACAGTATGCTTATTGTTAGACATTTGTTGTTGCTAATTTTTGATTTTCATTCCCCTAAAAGTGGTGTAGAAATTCATGTATGAGTATTTGTGTAGACACATACTTTCATTACTTTTGAATGAATACCTAGGAGTGAGACATGTAGATAATATCATAGGTGTAGGTTTACTGCTGAACTGTTTTTCCATTTGCATCTCATCAGTAGGATATGAGACTTCCAATTGTTCTTCATCCTTATCAACACTAGTATAACCAGACTTTTAATTTTTACACTTTCCAAATATATGTAGTGATATCACATTGCGTATTAAATTTGCATTTCCTTAAAGACTAATGCAGTGAAGCATCTTTGTCTGTCTTATGTACCATTTCATTATCATGTTTGCTAAGCTATCAGTTCAAATATTGTGCCCATGTTTAATTTCATTTTCTTTTAATTTTAGTTTTAGATGTTTTTGCATTCTTGATGTTTTATTAGATATTTAATTTGCAAATATTTTTTCTAAGAATATACCTGTAATTTCATCCTTTTAAAACTGTCTTTCAATAAGCAGGTATTAATTTTGATGAAATTCAAATTATCAAATATTTTTAGTTGTATACATCTGTGCTTTGATATTTATTATTTTCTTTCTCCTTCTACTTAGGATTAAATTTGTTACATTTTCTATTTCCTTAAGTTTGTTACAATGATCATTGATTTGAGAACTTTTCTATTTTTCTTAATATAGTGGTGTATTAATGTAAATTTACCCCATATATTGTTTTAGTGGCACCCCACAAATGTTGATATATTGTGTTATTATTTTAATTCAGTTAAAATAAATTCTAATGTCCTTTTTGTATATCTTCTTTGATTAGAGTTATATAAGAGTATTATTTGATATCACAATATTTGATATTTTTAATGTAACTTCCTGTTATTTATTTCTCTTTTAATTATGTAGTGTTCAGACAACATACATTTCAATGATTGCATTATTTTATATATAATAATACTTGTTTCAAGATCCCAAATATGGTGTATCTTGTTAATTTTCCTGAAAGGACTTGAAAATAGTCAGTTTTTGATTAAATGTTCTAAATAATTAGATCAGGTTGAGCTGGTTGATAGTGTTGATAACATCTTTTGTGCTCTAATTGATTTTCTGTTCGCTTGTTCTATCAATTGTTGTAAAGGGGTACTGAAATCTCCCACTATAATTTTTGATTTGTTTATTTCTGCTTGCAACCATATCTTTTTATTTTAACCTCATGTATCTTGAAATTATATATTTATGTTCAAAATGTCTAGAATTAATAAGTTTTCTTGATAATTTGACTACTTTGTCCTTATGAAATGACTCTCTTTTACTGCTGTTAATATATATTAACTGAAATACAGCTTTATGCCTTAATATAGCCATTGCAGATTTGTGTTAATTATTATTATTGTAGTAATATTTTCATTTTTTTCTTTTAATCTATATGAATATCTAGAATCGAAATTGGTACCTTTAGCTGGCATATGTTTGATCCCCTTTTAAAATATCAGACATCTGCTTTTAGTTGGGTATGTTAAAAATATTTCCATTTAAGGGAATTATTTATATAATTTGATTAAAATATACAATCTTAATAATTGTTTACTATTTGTCTCATCTATTTTTTTCCCTTTTCTTCATCTTCCTTCTTTTGCAATTTTTTCTGGTTCCAACTTTGCTATTTTTGTAGTTTTTTTAACTTTAACTTTTTTTGCATTATTGTATTGGTTGGTTAAGGAATTGGTGTAAGCTAGGTGTGGAGGCTCATGCCTATAATACCAGCACTTTGGAAGGCCAAGGTAGATGGATCACTTGAGGTCAGGAGTTCGAGACCAGCCTGGGCAACATGGCAAAACCCCGTCTCTACTAAAAATACTAAACTTAGCCAGGTATGATGGAATACACCTGTAATCCCAGCTACTCAGGAGACTGAGGCATGGGAATCACTTGAAGTCTGGAGGCGGAGGCTGCAGTGAGCCAAGATCACACCACTGCATTCCAGCCTGGGTGACAGAGTGACACTATGTGGGGAAAAAAAATCATAGTATGTATTCCTTTTAGGGTTCTTAATTGTAGTGTTTTCTCTGCATTTTATTATGCATACACACATATCCATTCATAAATTTAACACATTAAACTTAGGAGATATTTGACACTTTCATATATGAAGGAAAAAACAAATTTTTATATGAAGATTTCTTTTCTATGCATAAAATTTTAGATTGACTTCCTGTTTTTAAAAACTTGTTTTATTTCATGAATATATTGTGGACCTATTTTCATGCTGTAATACATTATCCTTTACTTAGAATTTGTTTATTCATTTTTAACTGCTATAAATTGTACATTATACAGTCATGTGCCACACAACATATCAGTCAACAATGAACCATATCATAATAGGAAGCTAAAAATTTTATATTGCCTAGGAATACAATAGGTGTTGTGATGTCTTAGTGCCACACATTGCCCATGTGTTTCTGGGGATGCCAATGTAAACAAATCTACTGCACTGCCAGTTTTGTAAAAGTATAGCAGATACAATTATAGATAGTACACAATACTTGGTAACGATAATAAATGACTGTGTTGCTGATTTATGTATTTACTATGCTGTACTTTTTATTGTTATTTAGAAATAAACCTCTACTTTTTAAAAATAAAAGTTCACTGTAAAACAGTCTCAGGCAGATCCTTTAAGAGGTATTCCAGAAGACGTTGTTATCATAGGAGATGACAGTGTCATGCAAGTTATTGCCCATGATGACTTTCCAGTAGGACAAGAAGTGGAGGTGGAAGATAGTGATACTGATGATCCCCATCCTGTGTAGGGCTAGGCTGGTGTGTGTGTAGTAGTATTAACAAAAAAATGTTGTTAACAAAAAAAGTTTAAAAAGTAAAACTAAAGTAGAAAAAAGCTTATAGAAAATGGATATCAACAAAGAAAATAGCTGTACAATGTGTTTGTGTTTTAAGCTAAGTGTTATTACAAAAGATTCTGAAGTGTTTTAAAAGTTAAAACTGTATAAAGTAAAGAAGCTACAGCCAGGTAAAGTTAATTTATTATTGAAGAAAGAAAACTATGTCTTATAATTCAGTGTTGCCTAAGTGTACAGTGTTTACAAAGTTTACAGTAACATACAATAATGTTCTAGATCTTCACATTCACTCACCTCTCACTCACTGACTCACTGGAAGCAATTTCTGATCCTACATGCTCCTTTCATCACAAATGTCTATATGAGTTTATCATCTTTTATCTTTTAAAGCATATTTTTACTGTACACTTTATATGTTTAGATAGAAAAATATTAACCATTATGTTACAATTGCCTACAGTATTCAGTACAGTAACATGTTATACAGATTTGTAGCCTGAGGGCAGTAGGCTACACAATATAGCCTAGATGTGTAGTGGACTATACCATCTAGGTGTTTTTACAAACACTCTATGATGTCTGTGTCATGGGATCCTTGGGGTGTCACTTTACCAGCCAGAAACCTCTGTGGCCGGGAGTGCCTTCTTCCTGAAGGTGCTGTGCCTGCTGGTTTTGTTTTGCCCACTCAACCCAGCAGGCTGCACTTGTCTTGCTCTAAAGGCCTGGATGCAACACTTTCCAAGGGCAAGCCAGGTGTGGAGAGGCGAGGTGTGTGTGGGTGAGCAAGCACAGGGTCCAACCACTACACACAGCCAGGAACAGTGGCTGCTTCGGCCGGGCAGGCAGCTCCAGGCTCCGGCACAGGCACCAGCTTTGTGCGAGGCTGCAACTGGATCAGATGTAGGGCACAGGGCTTCCGCTGTCATCACCTACGTCTGGAGGTGGGGAATGCAGTGGTGCCTAGAGGCTTGGACATGCCAAGAACTGTAGAGCACCAAGGAGGATGTTCCAGCCCTGGCTTGGGGAAGATCCTACAGGTCTGGGCTTCCCCAAAGCCCACAGCCCTTCTCTCCTCATTGCCAGCAACAGGGCAAGTGGGGGTGCGTGTTTCAACCCTATTTTTATTACAGCTCTTTCAGTCCTGCCACTCAGTGGGACCAACATTTGTCTCACATCTAGGAAGAATGAGATAGACAGACAATGGAGAGTGTGCAAGGCAGAGAGGAGCTTCACTGAGTGACAGAGCAGCTCTCAGGAGACATGAAGTAGTTTCTTTCTACAGGCACGTTGTCACAAGTGTCCAGCTCTCAGCCCAGAGGAGACCCGCAGTGAGTAGCTCCTTTCCACAGCAGATCGTCCAACGAGTCAAGGATACTTGAAGTGGGTAGCACCCTTCCACAGCTGGTAGTCCTGACATTTGTTTGAGTCTGGATGATTCCAGGGGTTTTTATGGGCTCAGAAGGGAAGAAGTGTATGCCAATTGGTCCATGGGCAACCATGGGAGGGCCTGGAAAAAGCACCGTAATTTCTCACTTTGGGTCAAGGACTCGACCTGGAACTGGCAGCCCGGCCCCCAGACTTCAGGCCATCACCGGCTTTAAGGTGGGATTTCACCAAGGACCTGCCCTTTTCCATACAGGAACCTGTCTGCCATGGCACCTAGACTGTTTGTGCCAAGGTCTGCCTGCAGGACCTCCCCGAGTCACTCTCATGCCCCCTTGGTCTCCCTAATGTGCTTGTCAGCACCAGAAGTCCAGATGGGGTTGAGGCAGCCGGGGGCTGGCATGTCAGCGTAGCCCTGAGTGTGCACACAAGGCCATGTTGCAACAGTGCCCAGGCTCAGCCACAACTTTGCTCTGTCCTGGAGCAGGCAGCAGGAATGGGAGCAGGCACTTTCAAGAATGGAGGGGCATGGGGCTTCCCGGGCTCCTGGGAGCACAGAGATGCCTGTATCTGGAGCCATGGCTAAGCAGCTATGGCTGCCTCCAGAAGCGAGGGGCTTCCATCCTGCCAACTCAGTGGAGGGCAGGACTCCCGCTTGTCCTCAGCTCCCAGCAGTCCCACAGAGCACACAACCCTGGCTGCACCTTCCCCACTGCAGTCGGCATCTTCACAGGAGCTGCACCAGACAGGCCGCAGCTGCCATGATTTGCACAATGATGAAATCACCTAATAATGCATTTCTCAGAATATACCCTTGTAGTTAAATAAGACATGATTGTATTAATAAAGTACACCCATCATTTCTTCTTTTACTTTAAGGTTTTAGGCTTCATGCATTTTCACAATTAGCAAAAGATATTTCTGCAATTTATATTCTAATATATGATTTCTTTTGAATATGTGGTAGGGCTTCTAGAGTATTTGGCCAGAAGTGAAAGTGCTATTCTGTCAGTATGCATAGCTTTATGTTTACTACAAATTACTAAATTTATATGTGACATTTTTTATCCAATTCATACTTCCAATGGGACTTTATAAGAGTTCCTGTTTTTTCACATATCTTGAAATCTTAGTATTTTCAGAATTACAATGTATTCCTCTGGTAAATGTGAAATAGTATCACATAATATGTTTATTTGCATTTTCTGGGTTCCTATTGTATTTATTTTTTTTTCAAATTTGTTGTTGGAAATATAGGATCTCTTTACTGTAACTTTTTGTTTATAGTATTTTATCATAATTATCTTGGTTGTTTTTCACTTTGTCTTAGACTTGTATTTTATTTATGCCTTATAAATATTATTTTTTTTCTCAAGCATGGAAAATTAAAATCTTATCTTTTGTGGAATAATGCTGTCTTCAATTTTGTCTTTTGTTTTGATATGTTTTAAAATTATTATTTAGGCCTGGTGTGGTGGCTCACAACTATAATCCCAGAACTTTGGGAAGCTGAAGCAGAAGAATTACTTTACTTGAGGCCAGGAATTTGTGAACCACCTGGGCAACATAGGGTGAACCTCTCTCTACTAAAAGTAAAAAAAAAAAAAAAAAAAAAATTAGCCAGGCATGGTAGCATGGTGGTGTGCCCCTGTGATCCTAGCTACAGGATCACTTGTGCCAGTGAGCTCGAAGTTTCGGTGAGCTGTGATTCCCCCTCTCTGAGGCCCCCCAAATTCTAGCTTGGGTGACAGGGCAAGATGGCTGTTAAAAAATAATTTAAAAAGAAAAAAAAAAGAAAAGTGCATACATGTATGAATAATTTATAGTGAAATACCCATATCTTTTCAAATTTTGACTATGCAATTTATGCCTGTTCTAATTTTTAAATTGTAGGTATGTTTGGGGAAAACTGACATTTTGAATATAGGTCTTTCCATCTCCATATTTGTGAAACCATACATTTTAATTGCCCTACATATCTTTAATTTTACAATACTTTCTCCGCTTTTTTTTTTTCCATTTTGAAAATTATTCTTGGTATTTCTTTCAGCTTCTTATTTATCTATATTTATAGTCCTAAGCCTTAGTTTCATCAAACCATTATATGGATTGCTCTGCTTATGGTTTTATCTTCAGCATATTTTCACATTTTTCTGCAGGCATTTCATGTACCCATGGCGGTCTTTATTAAATAATTTTTTTAGGCATGCTATTTCTGCTGGAAATTCCAGAGTTTTCAATTATATGGAATGAGCCTTTAAATTTATTTCTCAATTGGAAATTCCTACAAAATTAATGCCTGTAACTTTAAATTTTGACAGGGTACTTTTCCTTCTAAGAGAGCCCCACACAGTTTCTATGTCCCTTTCCTAGCTCACCCCTCATTTATTTGGCCCACTTCTCTAATCAAAATATCTTGCATAGATATTTAATCTTTAGATATGGTGACAATATTGGGAGCAACCTATCCCTTAGTTTCTGTAACTTTATCTCATGAATTTTTTCACTAATTTTATGGTCATTCCTTGAGTCTGAAACTCATAATTTCAGTTTATTTATTTTGAGCTCAACAATGTGTTTAAAATTATTTGTACTATTTATTTAACATTTAATTTTCATCCATATGTCTCAATTTTTCAATCAGAAATATTGATGCATATTATATTTCCTTGAACCTAAGAATTATGTTTTATTTTCTAACATATATACATTTTGCTTTTTATTATTATTGATTGTAAATTACATTATCCTCTATGTGTTATGTATATTTAGAGATTTGTAATTCCTTTATAATCGAGTTATTAATACATATTCATAAATGTTATATGTGAGCTCAAAACAAACACTGGCTTTAATTTTTTTCTTTTTTTCTTTCTTTCTTTTTTTTGAGACAGACTCTCATTCTGTTGCCCAGGCTGGGTGACCTTGGCTCAGTGCAGCTTCCACCTCCCAGGTTCAAGCAATTCTCCTGCCTCAGCTTCCCGAGCAGTTGGGACTACAGGCACACACCACCATGCCCAGCTAATTTTTGTATTTTTAGTAGAGATGGGGTTTCACCATGTTGGCCAGGCTGGTCTTGAATTCATGGCCTCAGGTGATCATCCCGCCTCGGCCTCCCAAAGTGCTGAGATTACAGGTGTGAGCCAGTGCACCCGGCCTGGCTTTAAATGTTTAATTGAGTTATTTATTTGTTGCATATACTTACTAATATATATTTGTCTGATATGTTTGTTTATGATAAACTTTTATGCAATTTTCACCCTGATGGGTATTTCCCAATTTAATGACATTTATAATTCTTTTGTGAATATATCTCTTTTTCTCTTTGCTTCCTGTATTTTAGAGGCTAGTTCACAGTGTTCACACAAGAACTCAATTGTTGTAATTTTTCTTAGTTTATTGTTTATAATTCATTAAATTTCTATTAATATTATTAATAAATAATTGACAATTATGTCATTATATAACCCAATTAATCAAAAAATGATTATTGAAATAATTTTTAAATTTATATTATTAATTAATTGCTATATTTCTTAATCTCTACTAATGGTTTTATATTAAAATATATTTGTCTAATATATGATGTTTCTATGTGGGACTTATATTTTGCTGGGTACCAGTCTTCATTGCTTTATTTTCGGCTTTTCTGTGTGACCATGATTTACATGCATGTCCTAACACATTACTAGACTTTTTTTAAACAATTCTATCTGAAGCTAGTTGCCATTTAGTGAATGTGTTTATCCCATTTGTGTTAATGCTAATTATTGATATACTTAGATTTGAGTTTCATATAGCATTTTAAAAATCCCGATTTCCCTATGGCAGACACTGTTAACTCACTAACTCAAAATCCATGCCTAACTCTCTTTTTCCTTTCACAGGAAATAGAGAGTTAGGTACACTGTCATTTTCTACTCATTTTAGCTAATGGATCTATGTGAGAGGATGAGGCATTGAGTAGAGAAAGAAAAGTGGCCAGTATCACCATTCTGCTTTGCTCCTAATCCTATTAAAAGATGAGAGCCTGAAGCTACTTCAATCCTCACATAGACACACATCACATGTGTTGATGTACAGCTTCATGCTGAGCAACACGGAGGGAAAAAGCAAAAGATCCAAGTCCTTGATGTACTCATCGAACAGCTGATCCCATGCCAGCACCTTTCTTTCCCTAAATGTCTACTGTCTTTAACATTTTCATTGTCTTTAGCATTGTGTTTTAAAGACTGTACACTATCAGCACATAAAATTAAACTTTTACCATTGGTATCTGACATAGTTAAGCATAGAAACACTTAAATGTTACTTTTCTCTCAAATCCATTTCTTCACAATGTTTCCTATCCTTCTGACTGATATCAATAGTGAGACTCCACAAGCTGGAATCCTGAACATCATTCCTGGATACCCACTCTCACTTATCCCCCATGCCAATTTGCTCCTAAGTTCAGTTATTCCATATTCTGCTCTTCCATCCAGGCTAGTCTCTGCATTCTGCTTTCCATTAAGGTAACAGTTTTCTAATATACCCCCACTTTCCAGCTTAGCCCCTTCATATTCATCTGATAATAATATTATTAGCAAATGTGGTAGAATGTTACATTAATTATGCTGGTCCTATTGTTAAAATTATTATATAGACCACCACAATTTTAATATGATTTTCATACTTCTGTGTGAAATACACAATTCATCAACAATTTTAGCTCTGCTTAAACTTACCTTTTTAAGCCTATCTTTTCTCCACATCCTGACCCATATTCAGCCATACAAAATTACTTATCTTCTCTGAATATGAGACTATTTAACATTTCTACTACTAAATACATAGCATTGTTTCAAATAAACTACCTCCTCTTGTATTCTCTTTTTAGAAAAAAAACACTCAATCTTTCTCTAAAACTAAGCATCAGTGTGGATTTCTGCAAGCCTTCCTGGAAACTTGCTTCATAGATCTTAGATAAACATTTTCAGTTCCTGAGCACACCTTAAGATCATTTTTTAATTGTTATAATTGGTTCATATTTGTATCACTTGCTCTGACTATACATCCTTCATCATAGTGTAGTCTTAGAACATTATTTTAAATTGTCTCCTTCTTGTTCATTAGTAGAAACTGCTAGCTAAACCCAATCTTCTGATCATTCACTCATGTTTTTCCAAGTCACTTTTTGGGGAATCATGTTAACATGTTGCTATGCTTTGCAATTAAATACACTTCAAACTAGATTATTACTCTACCAGTACAAGTTATTCTTTCAGTTCAAATTTACAGAAAGCAAATAAAATAATCACATGGAAAAGTTAAATAATTTTATGAAACATAAGCTGTTAGTCCATATCTGGTGCCCTTCCTAGTTCATAGCAGGTTTACAGGGTGACATTCACTGTGAGTGAATCTCAGAGCTTTCTTATGTCTGAGAGTTAAAGTGATAGTTTGAAAAAGAAATGTTTATTGAATTATAATGGAAGTTATAAATTATTTGCACTACTTTTCTGTCTTAAAATGATAATAAACATTTATTTTCAAGGTTTTTGTATTTTACCCCTTTCACAGCATCTGGACTTTTCTAAGAACAAACTGATATTTCCTCTATTCATGTGACACAACATAATCATTTGGTTGACCTTTGTCCAAGTATTTATGCTTCTTAGTGTCTTTTGAATTTGCAGACATGAAATGTTTGCACCTTTGAAATGTTGACATTTCATCAAGTGAAAAACAGCGTATAATTTTAAAATTTCCAGATATATTAACATATGTATGGTGCCTGACATGTTGTAGAGACATGTATCAGTCAACATTCAGGAAGGAAAAAGGGCTAATTCAAACCAGCAGACTCTGAGAAGAGTTTAAAAGGAGACTATGATGTGAGAAAATAATCTATGGAAACCAAAAGGGAAAATGTAGGACCCCTGGGTGCTATAGTTACTCATAGCCCTTAAAGAGGAATGAGAGAGCAAGGTCACTGGAAATCAGGATAAGTAGCTTAGGTTACACGGCTTCGTAGAGTTACAAGAAGTCTGCAGCAGCCACCAAGGAGTAAGCCAAAAGAATAAATGCCAAAACCCCACTCTTCGCTCTCCCTCTCTCTGATCTCCTAGTGTTCACAGTTTTAAACAATCAGAAGCAAGGGATCTCATGTAGTCTATACAGATTAGCCACCCAGAACATAGAATAGATAAAGAAAGTGGAAAACGAGTCAAGAGACATAATAGAAGATCTCTAAAACAGTCTACTCCATTATTCCCACAGTATTCACTCTTACATCTATGTTGGTAAAAACTTAATTTTTATAATATGGGAGAACTTGACTCCCAGCAACAACCATATTACTATTGGCAACATCAACTCATTTCAACTTTTACCTGAAATTGAATGGATTAGTTATCACTAGTGTTCTGCATGTAAGGTACTGTGGTTAAGGTGGAGAAAAGAACCAATCATTATAATATAGTCCAGTTTTCACTTCTTAAGCTGATCAGAAAACCTACATTTGTGATTATGTCTCCATTTTACCAGTACTCTTCCTGCTATGTCTCTTTCCTAGGGAAGCCAATCAGGGAGACAGGCTTTTTAACCAGTGGCGTAAACTTAACCTTCATCTTGGCGATATTTTCTGTTTGTGTAGTTTCAGTTTTCATTAGCTAAGATTATAAAGCAAGATAGTACTAATAGATACCCCAGTGAATAGCTGTGCTTTTCAACATTTGCCTCTTACTTTTCATAGTGAACTAGAAACCAGTTTTCTCCTGGTGATTGGGAACAATCTAGTTGGCTAGAACATATTCTCTTTCTCTTCATTTGTTCAACAACAAGAGAAACCCACCTTGATCAGAGGACAGTCACAGACCTGTAATTAAATAAAATTCTGACTACATTCTTTAGTGAAAGCATTTGATTTTGGGCTCAAAGATCACAAAACCAAATACCTCTAAAATTGTGAAGTTAAAATATTTTACAAGCTACATATTTAGGGGTAATTACATAACTGACTATATCACCTTCAACTCTTGGTTCCCAGCCCTATGCATTCTGATTATGAAACAGATAATTTATATCAGTTGCTGATTTATGGCAGTTGCCACATTGGGTAGAATGACATCCCAACATTGCAGGCACTCTAACTCAGCATTCAGTGGGTTGTGCCACTCTCCCAGGGCTATTTTTTTCTGGGTTTTTGAACATAATAGACTAGTTACTTCTGTGAGTGTGAATCCATTGCCATCACACTCTCCTTCTTGTAAAATAATTCCAGTCGGCCAAGACAATACTGTGTGTAAAACCAGAGAAGTAAGTAAAGCCATTGCTAAGAAAACAAACTCCCCCTCCATGCTCCCTCAAAGATAAAATATGTGATTGTGTTTCCACTATGTTGTCAACTATTTTCCTAGATAAATGAGAAGACATTAGGGATTCAGCATCGGCTCCTGCTATAGGCGTGTTGTGCACTCAACATTGGTAATAGCCAGATTAGCCTTGATGAGAGGAAGTCTACATTGTTGAACTCCTGTGTATCCCCCACCCCTGCCACTATTACAAGTTTATACATGAGGTCTTTGAATTAGCACTAGGGAATCTGGGGAAAGAGTCTGATTTACAGTATTTATCTCATACATCTAATAATGGTGCTTTTTTTTCAGCAATTGCATTTTGATTAGTATTTCTGTGCAGCATACCTTTACACTCCATGCCCATGCATCCATACACCTTTTCCTGAGACTTTCTGCACCACTGTTTTCTTTTCAGTTAGCCACTCATCACCTGGTCAAAGCATTAGCTATTGCTTATGATTATATAGATGTCTATCTCTGGCTTTCTTGCCTTTCATGGAATAGAACAACAAATGGTACCATGCAAGGATCTGTCCATGTGGATGAGTTCCCTTCTCCATTGTCTTTTAGAGCTATTTCTGTGTAGGGCTGTAGAGAAGAAGTCTTTCACTTCTAATATCAGCAGAATGTGCAAATATATTTACAAAACAGGTTCCTGTTGCTTCCTGTTCCATTAATTTTAACAGAGACCATAGATGTGAACTCAGGGAATGAAGAAAAACAAAAGGGAGATCTAGTAGAGGAATTGGTAACACCTGCTTATGCATTTTTTTTTTTTTACTCTTCAGACCCTGCTTAGACCCAGTCTTCTGATTATCATTTCCATTATAAAATTTAAAACTGTTGTGCATATATATTTTTAACTTTCAAAGATATTTATGCATGTATAAATATATATATATATATAGTACGTAGGTAGTTATTTGTGTTTGTGAATCAGATAATAGCAAGTACACAATGAGCAGTAGAGCTTGAATTATGATTTTGTGTCTCATCGCATTAGTTTCCCATTGACGATGTGACAATTCACTACAAATTTAGTGGCTTAAACAATACATATTTACTCCCTTATAGTTCTGGAGGTCAGAAGTTCAGAAATCAAGGTGTTAGCAAGCCTGCATTCTTTCTAGAGGCTTTAAAGAATAATCCGTTTTCTTGCCCTTTCTAGCTTCTAGGAAGCATTTGTGTTCTTTTGTTCATGCTACCATTCTCATTCACAATCAACAACGCAGCAGTCTTCAATGTTAATCTCTCTTTCTCTCTCTCTCTCTTTTTTTTTTTTGTTGTTGTTGTTTTTGTTGAGACAAATTTTTGCTCTTAGTGCCCAGGCTGGAGTGCAATGGCGTGATCTTGGCTCACTGCATCCTCTGCCTCCCAGGTTCAAGCAATTCTCCTGCCTCAGCCTCCCAAGTAGCTGAAATTACAGGCATGTGCCACCATGCCCAGCTAATTTTTGGTATTTTTAGTAGAGATAGCGTTTCACCATGTTGGCTAGGCCGGTCTTGAACTCCTGACCTCAGATGATCCACCCACCTCGGCCTCCCAATATGCTGAGATTACAGGCCTGAGCCACCATGCCCGGCCACTCTCTCTTAATCCTCTTCTGTCATCCCTTTTTTCTAACTATGACCCTCCAGCTTTCTTCTTATTAGTACCATTGTGATTATTCTGGGTCCACACTAAGATAATCCAGGATAATTTCCCCACCAGCTCAAGATCCTTAACCTGGCCTCATCTACATGGTTCTTTTGCCATGTAAAGTAATATATCCACAGATTCTAGGGGTTAGGATGTGATCATCTTTGGGGGAGGAGGAAATATTCTGTCTACCACACTCATGTAAAGGGTTTGTCTCAACCAAGGCCCTGAAGGCTCCGTGAGAGCCAGAAACCATATTTCAAATGGAGAAAGTCAGGAAACAACAGGTGCTGGAGAGGATGTGGAGAAATAGGGACACTTTTACACTGTTGGTGGGACTGTAAACTAGTTCAACCATTGTGGAAGTCAGTGTGGTGATTCCTTAGGGATCTAGAACTAGAAATACCATTTGACCCAGCCATCCCATTACTGGGTATATACCCAAAGGACTATAAATCATGCTGCTATAAAGACACATGCACACGTATGTTTATTGTGGCACTATTCACAATAGCAAAGACTTGGAACCAACCCAAATGTCCAACAACGATAGACTGGATTAAGAAAATGTGGCACATATACACCATGGAATACTATGCAGCCATAAAAAAAGATGAGTTCATGTCCTTTGTAGGGACATGGATGAAACTGGTAATCATCATTCTCAGCAAACTATCGCAAAGGCAAAAAATCAAACACCGCATGTTCTCACTCATAGGTGGGAATTGAACAATGAGAACACATGGACACAGGAAGGGGAACATCACACTCCAGGGACTGTTGTGGGGGTGGGGGGGAGGGGGGAGGGATAGCATTAGGAGATAAACCTAATGCTAAATGACGAGTTACTGGGTGCAGCACACCAACATGGCACATGTATACATACGTAACTAACCTGCACATTGTGCACATGTACCCTAGAACTTAAAGTATAGTAATAATAAAATAAATAAATAAAAAAAACAGAAAAGGGCATAACCTTACACCCAAATTCTGTAATTTGAGACTCCTAATCTCTCACTGAGTTTGTCAAGGCTCCATGAACATTATCCCTCTTACCCAGGCACTATGGATAACAGTGGTTTCCGAATCATAAGTCCCAGTGGCAGGGCATTTAGCACAGCAATCTGGACCTATTATAGATCCTTTCTTGCTGTGGGCCCAATTCAAAATTACAAGTCTTCCAAATTACTCAGGGAATTAATTAGAAAAGTAGGGCCAAACAGGATATACAATGCCTTACAAATTCAAGCGAGACCCACTAAGTGTTGTGTCTGTTTATCAATAGTGAATGCTGCCAGGCATAATACTTTTTTCCTTCTGTCTCATTAGCAAACAAGACACAGACCAATGAACTCCAAGATAATTCATTAGTTTTATGCAGCCCCGAATGTTAAGGGGTTTATTTGCCACCCTTTAGTACCCCTGTGTTTTTACTAAGGCTCTAGGATGCTGTCTGCTTCCTACTTATTCGTTGTGAAATAATCATATAATCAGAAGTACAATGTGTCAGTGTTGCATTCTGCAAAATATCAAAGCAATGAATGTGCCTAGTCCAGAATATTTTATGACAGAGAGCTGGATATTTGATACTGACCCAAAACATGACAGAAAAGGTATACGCTTATATTCATGATATGAGAGCTAACTGCTTATGATTTCCTTTGCTGGTGCAGATAGGGGGAAAAGGTATTCCTATTTCAATAGCTTTATACCAGGTGTCAGGGCCTGTGTTAATTTTCTCCAAGGGAGATACCATATCTGGAAATGCAGCTGTGATTGGAATCACTATCTAATTATGTGGGTGATAATCGACTGTCATTCTCCTTGACACATCTGGCTTTACACTGTGCAAATAGGCATGTTAAATGGGGATGTGGTGGGAATTAGCACTCTTGCATATTTCAAGTCAGTGATGGTGGCACTAATCTCTGTAATTTCTCTAGGGATTTTTGTTTTATTTTGTTTTCTACAAGGCAGGGTTAGGCAGGTGCAATTCTAGTGGCTTGTATTTTGGCCTTCTTTCCATCATGTCCTTTCTCCCTGGATCAGAGAAACAATTTGGGAATATTGATAGTTACTACTTATATCTATACCCTCTTAAATTTGGGAATGTGAAAAATAACTATAGAATGAGTCTGAGGTTTCACAAAAGGTGAATGGGGCCAAGACTCCATTTATTATCTGATCATCATAAGTTCCCCCACTTCATTATTACTTCCCAGAAACAGTTCATAGTCAGCAGATAAAATCCCTGCAGATCTGGCATTTTCTTTCCTTCTGAAAAGGTATGAAAGAAAATTCAAAATATATATCTATTACCACATTGCAAAGTTCTTTCTGAATGGATTCTGGCTTCCTTTCAATGAAGATGTTCTAGGTCTATAAACTGGCTCCATTTTTGGAATGGATTAAGAGGTCAAGAATATTTTATTTTTTATTTTATATATATATGTATATTTTTATTATACTTTAAGTTCTAGGGTACATGTGTACAACGTTCAGGTTTGTTACATATGTATACATGGGCCATGTTGGTGTGCTGCACCCAGTAACTCGTCATTTACATTAGGTATATCTCCTAATGCTATCCCTCCCCACTACCCCCACCACACAACAGGCCTCAGTGTGTGATGTTCTCCTTCCTGTGGCCAAGTGTTCTCATTGTTAAATTCCCACCTATGAGTGAGAACATGCAGTGTTTGGTTTTTTTGTCCTTGCGATTGTTTGCTGAGAATGATGGCTTCCAGCTTCATCCATGTCCCTACAAAGGACATGAACTCATCTTTTTTATGGCTGCATAGTATTCCATGGTATATATGTGCCACATTTTCTTAATCTGGTCTATCATTGTTGGACATTTGGGTTGGTTGCAAGTCTTTGCTATTGTGAATAGTGCCACAATAAACATACGTGTGCATGTGTCTTTATAGCAGCATGATTTATAATCCTTTGGCTATATACCCAGTAATGGGATGGCTGGGTCAAATGGTATTTCTAGTTCTAGATCCCTAAGGAATCACCACACTGACTTCCACAATGGTTGAACTAGTTTACAGTCCCACCAACAGTGTAAAAGTGTTCCTATTTCCTGATTGGCCCAAACTGGACAGTTTGTTAACAATCTCTTTTGATGATGCTATTGGAAAACAAACACACTCTTAAATTGCTGGTGAGAGCATAAAATGTTGCTCCTTCTATGGAGAGCATTTATCAGAATTTATCAAAATTACATACTTTAAACCAGTCATGCTACTTCTGGAAATGTATAATACAAATTTACCCACACTCATAAAAAAAAAAAAAAAAGGTCAAGAATCTCCACAATGATGACTCAAGTAAGGTTTCTGCCTTCTGGATCTAAATTTTTTCTTCTTATAAATGTCAATAGGCAACATATTTGTTTTGTAACCTCATTTATTTCTAAAACCCGAGCAAACAAATTACTTTGCATGTTTATCACTGAGGATACAAAACCACCTTCTTTGTATGGTTTGTGACTCTAATTATTTTCCTCATGTGTCTGAGTGTTAAAAGCTACCACCTGACCTCTACCTATAAACATTCTCATTGTTACCAGTGAGATCAAAAACTCAGTTCCAATGTGGTATCTCCCATTTCCCACATCATCTCCATTTTACAGAGGTCAGAAACTACAGCACTTTTCCAGAATACCGATGGCCCTGTCATCAAAGAATTTCTTCAATGCCTTGGTAAAGGGTGGATTTTTTTCAGGCTCCCTCTCTCAGGGCATGTGAATAAAGAATGAATGGGCCGGTTGTGCATAACAGATTAATTCCAACGTTCCTATCTCCCTGAGACTTTGGATCAATTACATTACATTATAGAGGGAGATGTTGGAACCTCAATCTCATTAACCAGAGGCCACCCCTGAAACCAAGATTTACTTAGCCAATTTAGCAGATTCTTAAAGTGGGTTTCAGGTACTTGAGTCATTCATTAAACCATGAATTCCAAGTGTCAATCCTATCTACTAATTTTTACCAATCAATTTTTCTTTCTACCTGAACTATTTAGATATAATTCTCTGCCAAATATTCTTCTTCCCCCAAAGGAGCAATAACATTTGTTGAAGTCATAATTCTTTGTGTGTATATGCTGTAGCCTATTAGAATAGGTCTTAAAATTCCTTTTTCACTTGTCCTTCCAAGTCTTGTTTGAATCTCTAAAATAGTATAGATATTTTAATGCCATATTAATGGGGTGGAAGGAAATTTTGGAGATGATGGATATGCTTATGGCCTTTACGGTAGTGATAGGTTTACAGGCATATACTTATCTCCACACTCATTGATATGGGTCCCATTAAATTTCTACAGCTTTTTATATGTTAAGCATACCTCAATAAAATAATTTTTAAAATATTCTCTTGAGCCAGTTTTGAGGCCCTGCCTAAAAACATTAAATTAAAAAAAACACCTGTCAGTTCTCCTTGACCAACTCATTAAATCCGCACCTTAAACTACTCCTTTATTAGGCTCTCATACTCCAGGCCATGATGTACTCACCTTAATCAACCCAGGGCCCGGTAATAGGCAACCAAAGACAAATAGTATGCGCAGAAGTGTATACAATTATTCAAATTAGCTAATCCACAGGGAGCCAGGGAAATGCAGCAAAATCTTCCCCAGTTGCCATACATAGACGGTGCTTGCCCTATCCTGTAAACCTCCAACTTCCACTTCCCTGGTCACCAGGTGCAAAACCCTGTGCAGCCCTGCCTAGAAGACTTTTCTTACTTGGAGCTATAAATAGCAAGAGTTCTGCCTTTCATCTACCCCAGTGCCAGTGCATTGTGTCCTGCCACCAAAAGACTCTTTAAAGACAATACAACATTGCCTGGCACTGTGAGCTGTTTGGTGTGTTGTGACCACTGACTCTTAGCTTCTCAGCAGGACTGATCTTGGACACACAGTTGGCTCTAAATTACTTCCAGAGTCTATGGGCCTGTTCCCTGTTTGTCACTTACCATTTTGTCTACTGGTGGTACCACATTTCTCCTCACGCAAATGTCTTCAGCATTTGAATATTCAAAAGCAATCATTAATTATTAAACTCCAGTAGCTGTATACTATCCCAGATGGGGGCTTACCATGAGGTAGGAAGAGTGATAGGTCATATGAATAACACCTTCCTGGTCAGGCTTTCCAGTGGGTTTCTGGTCACTGCCCATGTCTGCCAGAGGGCTATTCCAGGGATGTGCAATGTATTTGACACTGGCATTTCTTTACTGTTGTTTGGGGCAGAACTCTGGTTTGTCTATGTGTTACTGGTGACTCATATAGAGGAAGATGTTGGTTGGGCTCCTTCATGGTAGAAATGGCACCTGTTGCTCAGGTAAAGGTAGTGGCTCACCTGTCCTCTTCATTGCTGCATACTTTGCTGCTATTTGCTGCAAACAAAATACAGAATTTTTAGACCCTCAGAGGTATAATGAGTTATATCCTTGGATACCAGTAGTCCAATATTTAATCTAATGGAAAATAGGGATGTGAGGCATAGGAACCAATGTCTCATCCCTTCATGCTCTCAACTCCACTCAAACACCTGCCAAATTATACAATTGCTTAACAATGCAAGTCCTAGATAGAGAGCTTGAGCCTTAGTGAGTGTTCCACATAACTGCATGCAAAAAACTATTTTTGGGATATGTCTAACCGTACTGTACCAAGGAGAGGCTGCTATAGTCATCTAAGTACAAATCTCAATGCCTGGAAGGTAGACTGGGAAGCCTTCAATGAGATAGAGGACAAGACTCCTTCTCCCTTTCTCTTTTCCCATAAACACTTAGAAGGCACATGTCAAGTTATCAGACAGATAGAAACTAACATCCATAGCTTTAGGAAGCTAAAGGCACAACGCAGGAAAAAAAATGATAATTTAAAAAGAATAAACTAGCAACGCCAGCAGTGTTCCAAGATGGCAATATGTCTGCAAGAGATTGTTTCAAATTAAAGAACCAGGCCTGGCATTGAGCAAAGACCACTTATTGGTCACCTGGTACCAGAAAAATTCAGTTTGCATAAAAGATTTTGCAGTAGCTGTATGACCAGGCATAAGTCTTCACCTATCTGAAGTCCCATTTCTTCGTCTATAAACTGAACAATTCAACCCTTGGCTACTTCACTGAAATGATCATTATAAGCCATGTGTTTCTTGGCTCCAGGACAGCCATGCTGGTCATTTCTTCAATGACATGCATCACTTTCCCATTGCCGCCACTGTGCACTTGGTCCCAATCACCCATCTGGATCTTTTTTATTTCAGTCTCCTCACATTCAACGCTTCCCTGTCCTGTGAATTCCCTCTGAAACACCTTGATACTTTAAATCCATGGAAAAAGGAACCATTTAATAACTATTGTAAAAATTGCTTATCTATTATGAATGAAATTAAACCCCTATCTCATATGATAAATTTTAAAATTGTACATGGATTAAAGAGCTAAGTGTTATATACACAAATATATACACCATTAAAGTACCACAAGAAAATAAGAAAGAATAATGTAGATCTTGAAGAGGTCCACTTAAGTAAGACTACAAACCTGCAAGCCATAAAGAAAAAGAATAGCAGGCCAATTACATTTAAAATAAAATCTTGTTTAGTAAACGATTTCTGAAACAAAATTAATAAATTACTGGGAGAAAATTGCCAGATATTTAAAAGGCAAAGAGCTAATATACTCAGTTTCCAATGATTATTCATTCTGCAAATAAATAAGATAAATAGTTTCATGAAAACAATAAGCAGAAGATCTAATCCAATGTTTAATCTAATAGAAAAGAGGGATCTGAGGCATGGGAGCCAACATCTCATCTCTTCATGCTCTCAACCCCACCCAAAAGAAAACATCTGCCAAATAATACAATTGCTTAACAATGCAAGTCCTAGCCAGAGTGCTTGGGCCTTAGGAAGTGTTCCACATAACTGCATGCAAAAAAATCTATTTGGATAAGTCTAACTGCACTGTACCAAGGAGAGGCTGCTATAGTCATCTAAGTACAAATCTCAATGCCTCAACCTAAAGAAACACACACAACTAATAAACATAGGAAAAAATATTAACCTTTCACACAGATGAGAATAGCTGAACAGAACCCTTCACTGATCATCCTCCCTGCAGGAACACCTAACTTAACGACTATCTCCACAACAAAGCAACTTAATTAGAACCAAAAATCAAGTGAGCAATCACAATACCTGGTTTTAACCTTATATCACCGAAATAGGCACTGAAGAAAGTAGGAAAAGCATTCTTGGATGGCCAATGCCACCCCTCCCACATCCCCCAGCAGTGGCCTTATGGTGTAGATAATCTGTTCACTTGGGGGAGGGAGAGCACGTAGGTTGTGAGACTTTGCATTGGAACTCAGCGCTACCCTGTTGCAAGAGAAAGCAACACCGAGCAGAACTCAGTTGGTACTCACAGAGGGAGCATTTAGACGAGTCAAAGCTGGTCGGGAATCACCCAGCCTAGAGGTCAGAATCTGAGTATCAGCAAGCCCCACCACTGTAGGCTAAATAGCTCTGGGGTCCTAAATAAACTTGAAAGGCAATCTAAGCCACAAGAACTGCAACTCCTAGGCAAAGCCTTGTGCTGTGCTGGGCTCGAATCCAATGGACTTGGGTGGGGAGGTAGATGACCTAGTAAAAAACCAGTGGGGTGGCTACAGCAGTGCTTGTGCTATCCCTCTCTCAACCCCAGAGAGTGCACCCTGCAGCTCAGAAAGAGACCAATTCCCTCTGCTTGAAGAGAGGAGAGGGAGAGCAAAGAGTATTTTGTTTTTCAACTGGGATACCAGTCAACCACGTAGGATAGGGCATCAGGCAGAGCTGTGACCCCCCATTTCAGGCCCTAGCTCCCAAATGACATACCTAGCCACACCCTGGGCCAGAAGGGAATCCACTTCCTTGAAAGGAAGGACTCAATCCTGAAAGGATTCATTAAATGCTGACTAAAGAGCCTTTCGGCCCTGAATAATCAGCGACCACAGCGAGGTACTACACACCATGAGCTGTGGGTGAGACTCTGAGACATGCTGGTTTCAGGTGTGACCCTGCAAATTCAAAGTTGCAGTGGCTATGATGAGAGATTCCTTCTGCTGGAAAAAATCAGAGGAAAAAGGACTTTGTCTTGCAGCTTTGGTGTTAGCTCAGCCACAGTGGGGTAAAGTATCAAGTGGGATTTTAGGGTTCCAAATTCCAGGCCTTGGCTCTTGGACAGCACTTCTGGACCTACCCTGGGCCACAGGGGAGCCCACTTCCCTGAATGGTGAGTCCCAGGCACAGTAGGATTGACCATAAGCTGACTGAAGAACACTTGGGCCTTAAGTGAAGATTGGTAGCAGCCTGGAAGTAGTCCCCATGAAACTGTGGTGGTTGTGAAATGCAGAGTGATTCACCTGCCTGGGGAAAAGAGAGGGAAGACTGGGAAAGGCTTTGTCTTATGGTGTGGTGCCAGCTTAGCCACACACACAAAATAATAATAATAATAATAATAATAATAATAATAATAATAATAATAGAGCACCAGGAAGATTTCTGGGGTTTTTGACTTTAGGCCCCGACTCCCAGGAGTCATCTTGGATCTCTCTGGGGCCTGGGAAAACTCATTGCCCTGAAGGGAATGACACAATACTGTATGGATTTGCTACCTTCTGATTGCAGAGCCCTAGGGCTGAGTAAGCAGTAGCCAGGCCATAGTTATCCTAGGCCTTGGGTGAGACCTAGTGCTATGCTGGCTTCAGGTCTGACCCAGTGCAGTACCAGTGGTGTTGGCCACAGGGATCCTTATCTTATGTCAACCCTCCCCCAGCTCCAGGCAACATAGCAAAGGGAGAAAGAGACTCCAGTTGTTTGGGAGAAAGAAAGGGAAAAAACACAAGAGTCTTTATCTGGTAATTCAGGGAATCTTGCAGATCTTATCCAAGACCACCAGAGCGGTACCTCTAGGTGTCTGCCAGAACCACAGCATTACTGGGCTTGCAATGCCCTCTAATGCAGATATGGCTGCAGTGACCAAAAATGTATGTCACGACACCCAAGTCACTCAGAATACCTACAAAGCCTTCCCAAGAAAGACAGGTACAAATGAACACAAACTATGAAGACTATAATAAATACCTAACTCTTCAATGTCTAGACACTGACAAACATCTGTAAGCCACAAGACCATACAAGAAAACATGACATCATCAAACAAACTATATAAGGCACCAGGGATCAATCCCTGAGAGACAAGAGATATGTGACTTTGCAGACAGAGAACTAAAGACAGCTGTTTTCAGGAAACTCAACGAAATTCAAGATAATACAGACAAAGAATTCAGAATCCTACTAGATTAAATGTAACAAAGAAATTGAAATAATTAGAAAGAATCGAGCAGAAATTCTGTGGTTGAAAAACACAATTGATCTACTGAAGAATGCAATAGAGTCTCTTAACAGCAGAAGTGATCAAGCAGAATAAAGAATTAGTAAGATTGAAGATAAGCTATTTGAAAATACAGAGGAGACAAAAGAAGAAAGAATGAAGCATACCTACAAGGTCTGGAAAATAACCTCGAAAGTACAAATCTAAGTGTTATTGGTTTTAAAGAGGAGGTAGAGGGCGGGGCGCGGTGGCTCACGCCTGTAATCCCAGCACTTTGGGAGGCCGAGGCAGGTGGATCACGAGGTTACAAGATCGAGACCATCCTGGCTAACACGGTGAAACCCTGTCTCTACTAAAAATACAAAAAATTAGCAGGGTGTGGTGGTGGGCACCTGTAGTCCCAGCTACTCAGGAGACTGAGGCAGGAGAATGGTGTGAACCCAGGAGGTGGAGCTTGCAGTGAACCGAGATTGCGCCACTGCACTCCAGCCTGGGTGACAGAGCGAGACTCCATCTCAAAAAAAAAAAAAAAAAAAAAAAAATAGAGAGACAGATGGGAATAGAAAGTTTATTCAAAATGGTAATAACAGAAAACATCCCAGACCTAAAGACAGATATCAATACTTATGTGCAAGAAGGTTTCAGAACACAAAGTAGATTTTAATCTGAAGAAGACTACCTCAAAACATTTAATAATCAAACGCCCAAAAGTCGAGGATAAGGAGTGGAGTCTAAGAGCAGCAAGAAAAAAGAAACAAATAACATACAATGGAATTTTACTATGTTTGGTAGGAGACCGATTAGTGGAAACCTTACAGTTCAGGAGAAGTTGCATGACATATTTAAAGTGCTGAAGAAGAAACTTTTACCCTAGAATAGTATATGCTTAAACATGAAGGAGAAATAAAGACTTTCCCAGAGAAACAAAGCTGAGGAATTTCAACTCTAGACCAGTCCTACAAGAAATGCTAAAAGGAGTTCTTCAATCTGAAAGAAAAAGATGTTAATGAGCAATAAGAAATCAAATTAAAGTACAAAATTTACTGGTAATAGTAAGTACATTTTAAAAACGCAGAATATTATACTGTAATCGTAGGGTGTAAACTAGTATATCTTATGTAGAAAGGCAAAAGAATGAAACAATCAAAATAATAACTGCAACAGCTTTCAAGACAGCACAATAAGACATAAATATAAAAAAAAGAAAAGTTAAAAGACTAAAAGACAAAGATGAAGTTTAGAGTTTTTATTAGTTTTCTTTTTGTGTGTTTGTTTGTGCAATCAATGTTACATTGTCACTAGTTGAATATAACGGGTTATGAGATATTATTTGTAAGCCTCGTTATAACTTCAAATCTACAAACATACATCAGATACACAAAAAAATTAAAAGCAAGAAATTAAAGCATACCACCAGAAAAAATCACATTCACTAAAAAGAAGAAGGGAAGGAATAAAAGAATAAAAAGAAGACTACAAAGCAGCCAGATAACATAAAACAAAATGTAAGTCCTTACTTATCAATAATATTGAATGTAAATAGATTAAACTCTCCAATCCAAAGACATAGAGTGGCAGAATAAATTTAAAAAAAAATCCTGGCTGGGCACGATGGCTCATGCCTGTAATCCCAGCACTTTGGGAGGCCAAGGTGGGTGGATCACGAGGTCAGAAGATTGAGGCCATCCTGGTCAACTTGATGAAACCCCGTCTCTAATAAAAATACAAAAATTAGCTGGGTGTGGTGGCGCATGCCTGTAATCCCAGCTACTAAGGAGGCTGAGGCAGGAAAATCACTCGAACTTGGGAGGCGGAGGTTAGAGTGAGCTGAGATTGCATCACTGCACTCCAGCCTCGAGACAGAGGGAGACTCCACTTCAAAAAAAAAAAGAAAAGAATCCAATAATCTATTGTCTACATAAAACACACTTCACCTATAAAGACACACATAGACTGAAAATAAATGGATGGAAAAAGATATTCCATGTCAATGGAAACCAAAAAAGTGCAGGAGTAGCTATATTTACATCAGATAAAATGTATCTCAAAACAAAAGAAGCCAAATAATGTCATTATATATTAATAAAGGGATCAACTCAGCAAGAGGATATAACAATTGTAAATATGGACACCCTACACAGAAGCAGCCAGATGTATAAAGTATATATTATTAGAGCTAAAGAGAGAGATAGACCCAAATACAATATCTGGAGACTTCAACATCCCACTTTCAGCATCAGACAGTTCATCCAGACAGAAAGTTAGCAAGAAAACGTTGAACTTAATGTGCACTATAGACCAAATGGTCCTAATAGATATTTGCAGAACATTTCATTTAATGGTTGCACAGTATAAATTCTTCCATTCAGAACAGAAATCATTCTCAAGGATAAGCCATGTATTAGGCCATAAAACAAGACTTAAAACATTCTAAAAAATTGAAATAATATCATGCATCTTCCCTGACCACAATGGAATAAAATTAGAAATCAAGAGCAGGAAGAATTTGAGAAACTATATAAACACATAAAAATTAAACAATATTGGCCTGGCATGGTGGCTCATGCCTATAATCTCAGCACTTTGGGAGGCCGAGGCGGGTAGATCACTTGAGGTCAGGAATTCGGGACCAGCCTGGCCAACATGGTGAAACCCCATCTCTATCAAAAATACAAAAAATTAGCCGGGCATGGTGGCATGCACCTGTAATCCCAGCTGCTTGGGAGTCTGAGGCAGGAGAATCACTTGAGCCCAGGAGGCAGAGGTTGCAGTGAGCCCAGATCGTGCCACTGCACTCCAGCTTGGGTGACAGAGCAAGACTCTGTCTCAGGGAAAAAAAAAAATGAAATAATATTCTCCTGAGTGATCAGTGGGTCAATGAAGAGATTAAGAAGTAAATTAAAAAATGTCTTGAAAAAAATGATAATGGAAACATAACATACCAAAACCTATGGGATATAGCAAAAGCAGTACTAAAAGGGGAGTTTATAGCTTTAAGTACCTACATCAAAAAAGTAGAAAAACATAAAATAAATAACTGAACAGTACATCCCAAGTAACTAGAAAAGCAAGAGCAAACCACACCCAAGGATAGTAGAAAAAGACAAATAATAATAATAATAATAATCAGAACATAAATAAAATTGAACAAAGGAATACAAAACATAAATGAAATAAAAGTTGTTATTTTAGAAGATAAATAAAATCCACAAACCTGTAGTCAGACTCAGAAAAAAAAGAGAGATTGCCCAAGTAAATAAAATCTGTTATGTAAAATGAGACACTACAGCCAATACTGCAGAAATTCAAAGCATAATTAGAGGTTACTGTGAGCAAGCATATGACAATACATTAGAAAACCTGGAAGAAATGGATAAATTTCTAGACACATACAACCTAACACGACTGAACCATAAGTAAATTCAAAACCTGAACAGTCCATAACAAATAATGAGTTCAAAGATGTAATATAAAAGTCTCCAAGGAAAAGAGGGCCCAAGAGCTGATGGCTTTATGGCTGAATTTTACAAAACATTTAAAGAAGTAATACCAATTCTACTCCAACTATTCTGAAAAATAGAGAAAGGAGTGTTTCCAAACTCATTCTGTGAGGCCAGTATCACCCTGATACCAAAACCAAAGACACATCAAAAAGAAAATTACAGGCTGATATCCCTGGTAAGCATTGATGGAAAAATTCTTAACAAAATACTAGCCAAATTAATTCAACAATGCATTAAAAAAGTCACTCATCATGACCAAGTGGAATTTATCCCTGGGATGCAAGAATGGTTCATCATATGCAAATCAGTGTGATTCATTATATCAATGGAATGAAGAACGAAAATCATATAATCATTTCAGTTGATGCTAGAAAAGGTATCCGATAAAACTTAACAACCTTCATAATAAGAACCTGCAAAATGCCAAGTATAAAAGGAACATACCTCAACATAATAAAAGCCATATATAATGGACCCATAGCTAGTAGCATACTAAATGAAGAAAGACTGAAAGCCTTTTCTCTGAGATGAGGAACATAACAAGGATGCCCACTTACCCCACTGTTATTCAACATAGTACTGGAAGTTCTAGCTAGAGCAATCAGAGAAGAGAAAGAAATAAAGAGCATCCAAACTGGAAAGAAATAAGCCATTTTTTTTTGTTTGCAGTTGATAGGACATTATATTTGGAAAAATCTGAACAATCCACCAAAATCTCTTAGAAATAATACCAAAGTCAGCAAATTTGCAGGATATAATATTAACATACAAAAATTAGTAGCATTTCTATATGCCAACAGCAAGCAATCTAAAAATAAAATTAACAAAGTAATTCCATTTACAGTAGCCACAAATAAAATTAAATACCTATGCACACACTTAACGAAAGAAGTGAAAGATCTCTACAATAAAAACTATAAAACATTGATGAAAGAAATTGAAGAGGACAAAGAAACTAGAAAGATGTTTCATATTCAGTATTGGAAGAGTCAAAATTGTTAAAGTATCTATACTACCCAAGGCAATTTACAGATTTGGTGCAACCCTTATCAAAATACCAATGGCATTCTTCCCAGAAATAGAGAAAAATAATCTTAAAATGTACATGGAAATGTAAAAGATCCAGAATAGACAAAGCTATCCTGAGCAGAAAGAACAAAATCGGAAGAACCACATTACCTGACTTCAAATAATCTGAGCTTATAGTAACTCAAACAGCATGATACTGGCATACAAACATACATGTAGACCAATGGAACAGAATATAAAACACAGAAAAATATCTATACTTCTACAGAACTTATTTTCAACAAATTCTAAAGCATAGACACTGAGGAAAGGATGGTGTCTTCAATAACTGGTGCTGGGAAAACAGAATATCCATATGCAGAAGAATGAAACTAGACCCCTCTCTCTCACTCTATACAAAAGTCAAAACAAAATGGATTAAAGACTTAAATCTAAAACTAAAAGCTATGAAACTACTAAAAGAAAACTTTGCAAACTATCTATCTGACAAGGGATTAATAGGCATAATATATATGGAACTCAAATACTTCTATAGGAAAAAGATCAAATAACTGATTAAAAAATATGAAAAATATTTAGATAGACATTTTCTAAAAGAAGACATAAATGGCAAACAGGCATATGAAAAGGTGCTCAATATATTTGATTATCAGAGAATTGCAAATCAAAACTGCGATGAGATATCATCTTACTCCTAGTAAAATGGCTTTTATCAAATGGACAGCCAATAATAAATGCTGGCCAGGATATGGCAAAGAGGAAAGCCTTGTAAACTGTTAGTGGGAGTGTAAATTAGTATATTAAAGAGATATCTGCATGGTGAAACCCCGTTTCTACTTAAAAAAAAAAAAAAAAATTAGCCGGGCATGGTAGCTCATGCCTGTAATCCCAGGTACTTGGGAGGCTGAGGCAGGAGAATCGCCTGAACCTGGGAGGCAGAGGTTGCAGTTAGCCTAGATTGTGCCATTGCACTCCAGCCTGGGCAACAAGAGCGAAACGCCATCTCAAAAAAAAAAAAAAAGAAAAAAAAAGATATCTGCACTTTCATGTTTATTGCAGCACTATTCACAATAGCTAAAATTTGTAAACAACCTGTTTATCAACAGATGAACGGATAAAGACATTGTTGTAAATATACAAAATAGAACACTATTCAGCAAATAAAAAAATGAGATCGTGTCATTTCCAATAACAGGGATGGAACTCGAAGTCATTATGTTAAGAGAAATATGTCGGGCACAGAAAGACAAACTTCGCATGTTCTCACTTATTTTTGCAGGCTGAAAATTAAACAATTGAATTCATGGAGACAGAGAATAGAAAGATGGTTATCAGAAGCTTGGAATGGTAGTGAAGGGGATGGGGAGAAAGTGGGGATGGTTAACGGGTAAAAATTAGAAAGACTGAATACAATCTATTATTTATAGCACAACAGGGTGACTATAGCCAATAATAATTTAATTATACATTTTAAAATAACTGAAAGAGTATAATTGGATTATTTGTAACACAAAGGGTAAAGGCTTGAGTTGATGGATACCTTATTTACCCTGATGTGATTATTACACATTGTATGCCTGTATCAAAATATCTCATATACCCCATAAATACATACATTTATTATGTACCCACAAAAATTGAAAATAAAAAAATTAAAAGACACAAAAGAAGCTCTTACTCTCAATAAACTTGCAGTCTAGTGGGAAGACAAACATGGACTATCGCAATATGACTTGTACAGAGCAGATGTGAGCCAAGTCTGCTGAGAGCATTGGAGGGAATCCTGAGTAGGAAGCAGTTGTCAGGAAAGACTTCACAAGGAAGAGGTATGAGTTGAGACGCAGACAAAGAAGTGGTAAGGATGGTGTTCTGAGCAGAAGAAAAAGAAACATCATACGTGTCAACACCACCTTTGCTAGTTGTGCCTCTATAAAGTCCCTTGACTGAAAAGATATTTGTAAGTAAATTTACGAGGCCCAAGATTAAAATTCTACAATGACTCAGTCTCATTATAACACCATAGAGTCACAGAAAGAGCCTGGTGAGTATTTATTTAAAAATAATACCCTTCTCTCACATCCTAGACAATATGGTTCCAAATCAAGACCTCATCATTGAAGATGGTGTCACCCCCACACAGGAGACAACTTCACCCCAGACACTGAGACTACTTTCCTATTATTACATGCACACACACACACACCCCCACACAGATACACATACACACACACACACCCCTAATCACTGGAACCTGTGACTATGTTATATTACACAACATAAAGGTACTTTGAAGATGTAAAGTTACCAGCCTCAAAATAGAGAGATTATTCTAGACTATCCAGGTGGGTACAACCCAATCACATGATGACATAAAAACAGAACTTTATTTGATTGAAGTCACAGAGATGAGGCAGAAGGGGAATTTAGAGTGACTCAAAGTGTACGTGGCACTTGAGAAACTCAATTGTCTTTTTTTTTTTTTGGAAATGGGCTGCATGGAAAGCAGGACACAGGCAGTATTGATGAGCAAAGACTGGCTTCAGACTTGCAGCTGATAGGGAAACTGAGGCCTTGGTCCTACATTTGGAAGGAACTGAATTCAGCCACAGCCTTAATAAGCTGAAACAGATTATTCTCCAAAGCCTCTAAAAATAATGAATGTTCTGACAATACCTTGATTACACCCTTATGACACTCTAGGCAGAAGACCAGAGAACCCAGATAAAACACACCTTGCAGGGTCTTCTGACCCTTCAAACTGTGAGATCATAAATTTGTGTTGTTTAAAAATACCAGGTTCATGGTAATTTTTTTAAATGAAATCCATGGGTATATACACACAGATGATAGATAGATAGATAGATAGATAGATAGATAGATAGATAGATAGACAAGAGAGAGAGACAAAGAGAGAAAATAATGTGTATTTCAATTTAAAATTTTGACAAGGTGATATTCAGAGCTGGCCACTATATTTTAAAAATATTTATAGGCACATATCTTGTTTAATGAACTCTCTTCTTTAGTTAAAGTTCTCAGCTGACTATAGTAGAATTCACTTTGGCTAGGCAAAACATAAAAGAAATATTTTGAAAGATAGTAGGAAGTATGCAGATTCTCCAGTACAACTAGAAAGCCAGTCTCCTAAAATATACAGCAAGACCAATGCATTGGGGGCATATAAACAATGATACTGATTTTGTTGCCCATCTTCATCAACACTATAGCTTCTTCAGAGCATAGCAATTACTTTCAGGATTACTGTCCAAAATTGTCATTGTGGTAGTTAGTTAAAAAGCAATATAAAACTAATATAACAAGGTCTCAAAAAGTAACAACTGCTTTTTTTCAGAAATTTGGTAGTTGCAACATTTTATCTTTAGAGTATGGATGTCAAATTATAAATGTCTGTAGTGCTAAACAAAGTAGCATGAAAAAGACAGCAGAATATAGAAGACATAGGGAATTGTAGGATTTGTAACAAATTAATGGGTTAGTTTTACTCAAATCCAGCAGTTTGGGATGATTTGAATATGGCTAAATACTAAATTTTTAAAAATAAGTAAAAATCTAGTAGTTGTTTTTAACATGAAATCAGTTGGCAACAACCTACACCCTACCCCAATTAAAAAAAAATCTATGTGGGCCAAACGATGTGAGTATGGCACTATTTTATGTTCTGTACTATAAAATTTAAGAATAAATATATTTGCTTGTGTTTTCCCTTTTGAGAAGTTTTTTCAATTTCATATGTAAACATTTCCATTTTCTTCCTGATTTATTTATTTTTTTCTCTAAATCATTCATTCATAAAGAACATGCTCATTGAGCATCTTCTATGGAACTGACACTATTTAAGACATATTGAGCAAAATAGAAAGATATCCCAGCCCACCTGAGGTTAATTCCTAGAAGCAGAATACATAAAACATAATTAAAATATATAAATTGTATATCAGCCACTGTATATCATCATTGGTAAATGTTGATAAAATGTGAAGAAAAAAACTGTGAAGAAATTATTGAGAGAACACAAGTTTGGAGATAGAAGATGGATGGAGGAAAACTGTTTAATGCCAATATTATTTTGGCATTAAAATTCTAAATTTTGACATCTTTCAAAATTCTAATACAATTTCCTATGTACTAGAGCAACAAGGATTGGGGGGCTATTCTACTTACTCTCAAAGAGTTTACAAGTTGGTGAAACTGACATACAAGGTAAACAGATTATATTCTGATAAGTACTGTCATGATTTATAGCATACAGGAAAGTAAAGAGTTTTAGGCAAAGCTTATAGGAATGCCAGAAATAGATGGTGAAATTTCCTAGAATGTGTGTAAACTATATTGAAATTAACAACGTTAAAATGTTTAGCTAGGCATTTTAAATAACTAATTTCTGAGTACCATTCCATACTTCCAAGATTCTACTATTTAAAGATCCCATGTGGTCCTATAGGAAAATCTTCGAAAATTTTGAATGAGAGCTCAGACCTAAAAATGTTATAAGATCCCTCTGATGTCCATAAATACTTGGAAAATCATTTTTTCCCATAGAGTTTCATATGAAGCCATGCCTATAAAGACTTTTTGTATTTTTAAAACATGGAGACAGGCCAAGCATGGTGGATCATGCCTGTAATCCCAGCACTTTGGGAGGCTGAGGCAGGGGGATTGCTTGAGGTCAGGAGTTCGAGATCAGCCTTACCAACATGGTGAAACCCCACCTCTACTAAAAATACAAAAATTCATCAGGCATGGTGGCAGACGTCTGTAATCCCATCTACTTGGGAGGCTGAGGCAGGAGAATTGCTTAAACCTGGGAGGCGAAGGTTGCAGTCATCCGAGATTGCACCACTGAACTCTAGCCTGGGCAACAGAGTGACTCTGTCTTAATAATGGAATACTATGCAGCCATAAAAAATGATGAGTTCATGTCCTTTGTAGGGACATGGATGAAATTGGAAACCATCATTCTCAGCAAACTATCGTAAGGACAAAAAACCAAACACCGCATGTTCTCACTCATAGGTGGGAATTGAACAATGAAAACACATGGACACAGGAAGGGGAACATCACACACTGGGGCCTGTTGTGGGGTGGGGGGGGGAGGGATAGCATTAGGAGATATACCTAATGTTAAATGACGAGTTAATGGGTGCAGCACACCAACATGGCACATGTATACATACGTAACAAACCTGCACATTGTGCACATGTACCCTAAAACTCAAAGTATAATAAAAATAAATAAATAAATAAATAAAATGTCAAAAAAAGAAAACATGGAGACAATTCAGTCCTGAAGTTTGCAACTTTTCCAAAAGGTCAAAAAGCCTAATAATCTCCATTTTTAGAGTAACTAGGAGACAAGGATAACCTAAGATATCTCAAATAAATTATACCAAAGTATTGGAGTCCCACGCAAAGTTAGGAATCCATAAATTGTGATAGGAAGAATGGTGGTTAAAATACCAAGAGTCTAGTCTTGGTGGAGTCCATAGTCACTCCTGAAGGAGAAGGTCCCAACCAGAAAGGAAAAGTTATATCCAGGATGAAGACTAAACAGGCTCAAGTGCTAGCGAAATTCAACAGAGAAGGCAAGAAATTTGCCCAGTGACCCAAACATCTCAAATTTTTTGAGATGTTTGCTAGAACCAGGAGGTTCTAGCAAAATAAAATTCCCCCCAAAATTTTGGGTCCTCTGGTACACTGGTCCATGAAGCATTCTTAGAGGAAATCAGGGAAGGCCAATGGCTGCATAGCTCTCCTGCTTCAAGTTAGTTTCCAAGTGTCAGAGGAGCTGTGGTTATACAAAAAATCCATGCTATAAATAAGCATTGTCTATTGTAGCAGCAGCAGAAGAGGGCATTGAGTGGCAAAGTTGGAAAGCTATCTTTCCTATCTCCATTTCTTCCAGAGGAACCGATTGTAATAATTGAGAAAAATTCAACTCATTCACATAGGAGCAGCAGAAACAGAGTATACCTTCAATAAACATGGAACTGTATGAATAATTGTCTGGTGAGGAAAAGATATAAAGAATAAATTCATTTTTGCCCTGATATACTGCTTTCAAACTTTGAAGAATTTTCTTTCAAAGATGCTTCTTGCAAGAAACCAGAAGGGATATTTTCAACCATAGCGTTTCCCAGTAAATGAATTTGCGAGTTACGTGACTGGTAATCACAAAATTTTGTTCTTTAGGAGATTCTATAGAAAATTGTGACCATGCTAAAAGTTCTCATGTGTTTCTTTACCAATTTAACAGCCATGTTTACACTTTCTGAAACACTTTCTCTATCTTCTAAAAATATCTGAAAAGTTCCCTGATTACAAAAGGAAAGAGAAAATTACTGGCCTGTTGAAAGACTAAACAGAGGCTGAATTAAATTGCTTTTCTAGGGGGAATGCAAAGTAATTACATAGTAAGGGGTTAACATCTGGAACAAATTTAGCAGGATGTAGTAGTTAAATATTGCCCTCTAAAACCTACAATATTGAGGGATTAAGATAAATGTAAGCTACTCATTATCTGTAATTGGTCAGTTTTTAGAAAATAAATGAATGCTTTTTAAGTTATTACTTGGGTACAACTGTTAAATTTTGTTTCCCTGTTTAAAAAAAAAATCAGTGCCAGAGATTCTCAGTAGAAACAGGTTAACTCTTTCTTATCTTTACATAATTTTTCATGACAAAATATTGAATACAGTTTCAACTTAATTGTACCTCTACCTGGAGTTGAGAATGCACATTATGAAGTGGTTCACTTTGACTGATTTCTCCAGTTAACCTCATCAAATCTCCAGTTGATCTATGTAATGATTATCTAGTTCATCAGCCAGTATCTCAGAAGTTGACACTTTTTACTGTAAAGAGGTCAAAACTTTCCTTTAAGTTATCTCAGTTCCTATTAGCAAAATATAGTCAATTCATATATTAGTCTGTTCTCACACTGCTATGAAGAAATAACTGAGACTGAGTAATTTATTTAAAAAAGAGATTTGATTGACTCACAGTTCTGCATAGCTGGGAAGTCCTCAGCAAACTTACCACCATGGCGGAAGGCACCTCTTGACAGGGCGGCAGGAGAGAAAGTGAGTGTCATCAGGGGAAATGCCAGATGTTTATAAAACCATCCAATCTCATGAGAACTCACTCAATATCACGAGAACAGCCTTGGGGAAACCACCCCCATGATTCAATTACCTCCCATCAGGTCCTGCCCCTGACACATGGGGATTATGGGAATTAAATTCAAGTTGAGACTTGAGTGGGGACACAGAGCCAAACCATATCAATTCATATTCCAACTCGCTATCAGTGGTTTTTCAACTTTTGTAATCTTCTTTCCCAAGTATAGTGCCCTTGCATTGGTAGGGGGAAAAAGCTTGGTCTGAAGGATTTTCTCTATGTTTTTGTTGGATTTGGCTGCACATTGGATGGCCACAGCTGTGTACCTGTGACTCTGCACTGGTGCGTCTCAGTGTGTGGCTACTATTACAAAGTCCTGTTGGATGCCGTGTTAGCACCCACTGCAGAAGTCCAAGCTCTCGCCTTTATCCTTCAAATGTGATGTCTGTACTTCGTGTTACTTCCTTGGATGACCTCATGCTATTGACCACACACCAACAATCTTAGAACATGGGTCCATCATGTGGCATAACTGTCTCTTGCATACCAAGCGGAGGCTGTGGAGGATTAGGGTACTATTTGGTACTTATCAATACCTTTTGGCTTTTCTATCGTACAAACCCTCTGCTGGATGTTATGGGGACACAGAGTCCTAGCTTATATGTTCCCATATTTTTTTCTTCCCTGAGTTGCTTTGAGTAATATAGGCATCTTATTTGTTTTACTTCCAAAGTCTCTTCACCCTGTTATAGCATCCTCTTTTGCTTAGCCTAGTGAAAACTTTATCTTCATTATCTTCTTTCTTTTTCCTACCTTACATCTTCTTTGTGCCACTCGGAAATCAACTGACCCAAGCATAATGGTGAAGGGGCTGCAAAGAAAAAATAAGCTTCAACTATTCCTAGTGATCTTTATTTATTTATTTTTATTATTATTAATGTTTAGATCAAGTCTCACTCACTCTTGTCACCCAGGCTGGAGTGCAATGGCATGATATTGGCTCACTGCAACCTCTCCACCTCCTGGGTTCAAGCAATTCTCCATTCTCCTGCCTCAGCCTCCCCAGTAGCTGGGATTAGTCTAATGTCAAATTAAAATGTCTCCCATGCCCTGCTATTTTCTTCTAATTTTAGTAGAGACAAGGTTCCACCATGTTGGCCAAGCTGGTCTCAAATTTCTGCCCTGAAGTGATCCGCCCACCTCAGCCTTCCAAAGTGCTGGGATTACAGGTGTGAGCCACTGCACCCGGCCATAATCCTAGTTGTTTTTTAACACATTAAAGTTCACTATTTTGTGAAGATTCTCCAAGTAAACTTAAAAATTTCCATTTGAAAATATCTCATCTCAAGATGATTAGGATCTAGAAAATTATTCTTCTTTTCTTATTACAGGAGGTTGCAGTGTCTAATTCCTATATTTAATGGTGAAGGCTCAGAATGAAGCTAGAAACACACAAATAGAAGGAAAAATGACTCTCATTATAATATATTGTGTGCTCAGGTAGTAGTAGTTATTAGCAATATACGTCTCTAAAATTCAATTTCTTTCTCTTAGCTCATTCATCTTAATCAACCCAGGTAAAATAATTACGAGATAGTATCTGTGAAGGCTCAATAACTCAGGATTTATAAACCTAATTCAAGAATTTGTTTAAAATGACAATTAAGATTAGGGGATAAATAATATACAATTTATTAATGACTAATGACTCAAATTAATAAATGTCAAATTAAAATGTCTTATATGTATGGTTAGACTAATAACACACAATCTTTAATCTCTAAGGAACTGCCAAAACTCTTAGGTAAGGGTTCATATAAATATTATCTTAATTTAAATCGGATGTTTCCTTTTGTTGTTCTGACTTACTACATTTCAAATATCATATTGATTCATATCAGTTAATTCTTTGTATTAGTACTTTTAATAACAATTATATAGGATACTAATCTGTCCTCATTTAGTCAGAGTTCCTGCTTTAAATACAATGTGTTCAATTCCTAAATTTCAGCAACAGAGGTATTATTTTCCTTTTAGTCAATATGTAATCCTTTGCATTCAATGCAGAATGAAAGGAGATCTGTTTATTTCAAATAAATCTGAAAATTATTAATTGCAGCTGCTGGTTACTGGAAAGTTGTGCGTCAGCAGTGCCCCCACATAATTGTGCAAACAACCCCACAGTGACTAACTCACACTGGCCTGAATCTCTGTCTCTTTATGTCTCTCTGAACTTTGCCTGCTCAGAGAAGGGTTTTCCTTTTGCTAGCATTTTGAAAATAAGTGGACCTCATGGAGCATAGCTATGATCTGTTCTTTAAAAGGGGTCCCAATGCAGACTATCTTTTGGCCCTAAAATGATTGCAGTAAAGCAGTATTTAATACTCTCTCTGGCTTAAACAGCTTGAGTTAGCTTGTTTAGATCATTTACTACATCCTGATTTTAAGTACCTATCATAATTTGGCAAGTATCTAACATTTGACATACTGTCATTTCTATACTTCTTTGTCTATAGAAATATGTTTCAGTTTATATGACAAAGATACTAAATAAATAATCTAAGCCTTCAATTAATCAAAAGCATATTTCATACTAGATGAAAAAATCTTTAAGATGATTTTTTTCAACTTTTTGGATACCATGTGCATTGGGTTGAAGTCAACTAGTTCTTATGAATCTATATTTAAATTCAGAAACAATAGTTATCAATTTTCAGAAAAATGTATATAGTTATCACTTTCAGGAAAACTAATGAGTTTACATTTGAAACCTATATTTTTTATCTTCGTAATACTAAAATTTTCTCTTTTGTTTCAATAATTTAAATGTTTTTCACATGAAAGAAAATATGGTAAATTTGTCATATTATACGATAAATTTTAAATTAAATAAATTTTTTATTTATAATTTTATTGATAAATTTACCATATTTTCTTTTATCTGAAAAAAAGGAGTGATATACACATATACAGGCAGGTACATACCGGTTTCTAAATGTAAATTTCAATATGACACATCTAAAACCATGTACTAAGCAGTTTCTGGAATACCTCGATAAAATAATAATTGTCTTCAAAATAGTCTGTGCTAAACCAGTGTTCCATGAATAAAAATAGTCCCAAATCACCATTTTTATATTGCCAATTAATATTAATTTGTTTAAAGAAAATGATCACCTAAAACAATTAAGTATTCTAAAACTAGTGACAACTCAATATTAACATCATATTCTGAAAATTATTAATTCTATGCATATTTGGCTATAAAATCAGCTTCAAAATGTGATGTTTGCCTTCAAGAGCTCATTTAAATTAATCAAAAATGTAGCAGTGGCAATTCTTAAAGATTTGGAGAAAAAACTGTAGAAGTTCACCTGAAAGTATAAACTTTCTGGAAGATCAATATATATCCGAAGGCTATTGCACAATTCATCAAATATGTATATATCTATTCAACTAACTTGTACAGAATATCTTATTACAGGATAACTTTAAGTCAAACAACCAACCTGCAGTTGTTTGTGAGCAAGTATATAAAGTAATTCCAAATGTGTTATCTATTTTCTAAATTATTATCCTTCTCTATTACATGGCAGTTTATTGGTTATCTCTTGATGAAAATTTTGCAGTTAAATGATTCTTGTATAAAATGAAAATGCTGAAGTATTTTGGGGAATGAAAAAATTCCTATAAATGAAAGATAAAAGTTTTATTGTTACAGAACATTTTGCCCATATTAACATCTGTTCTTATTTGGGGAGATTTTCCTCTTGGCAAGAAAGAACCGTACCCATCCAATGGCTCTCAACAAGTCCCAGAATGTGTGGAGAACTGCTAAAAGAGCTCATCACTCTGCACCTGTTTCAGCCACACAGGCCAAGTTTGAACTGCAGAGTGAAGGCAGAATAATACACACAAGGTGCAGTAACTCTGTAGAAAGGAATTATATGTCCCTAGTTGTCAAAATTCATGAATAACCTACATAATGTGATAGTATAAAGAAAACTCATCAGATTTATAATTGCAGTATTTAAATCTTTAAGACCACATAGGGTTGTTACAATTTTCTAAAGTGAAATTTAAGTATAATTAATTTTTAACCCAAGTTAAAAACTTTATATACATATTTTCTATTTACTCAAATAAGTCATCTTTGACATACTACTTTGCCCATCTTCCAGGGAATGCTGCTTGCTTTTAGTAACTTGGCAGCTTCTTGCAAGTCATTTCACTGTGAATACCTAATCAATCTTGTTTTTATCCTTAATACTGAGGCCTGCCAGAATACAGGAAAGGGTCTAAGTCACAATGTGGGAGTCCAAAGAGACCCAATTTATTGATATGTCCTTCCTAGGAAATTTCACATAAAACACTGGGCTCAAATTCTGAGAGAACGAAGTTCTGCTTCTATAAAGTGCAGAGATTTCTACTGTTCCATGGATTCTCAAAGGCTACCTCTGAACTACAAAAAGGGTCTATGCCTAAAATACTCTCCCTTTCCCACGATTCTCACACAGAGACCACAGAGAAACGACTGTTTTATTCATTTTATTGACACTATTTATTATTTTGGGAAAATATAAGGATACAGTAGAAAAACACGTTTGTTTTATTTGAGAAGGAATTTGGCTCCTACAACTCTACTTAAACTGCTAACGTTTGGGAGTTCTAGAATGGTTAGCAAATAACACAATGTGCTCTGATACTCACAAACCAGGACAATAAAATAAAAAGAGCAAAATCACTCATTAGGTTTTCTATAGATTCCAAAGAAGCTTAGACTATCTTTCATCCCTTTCAAGCTGAAAATTGGTGCAATGAACAAGTAGCCAGCAAGAGTTCCAGAAATCAGGATATTGCTCCTGCCAAGACTTACTTTCACTAAAATCAACTGAAGACTAATCTCTACCACGTTCCCACTACACAACCTTGAAACTTTGAAATATATCAGGATTAGCTTTTGAGTCCAGGTGTGTCTCAGATTTGCAGTGATTTATTACTTACGATAGCTCGTCTCTTGCCATTAGAAGTAATATCAGTGTTTGTAACGGGGGTCTAGGTACCACTAAAAATCATATATCATTAGGACATCATGGAACATTTTTCTTCGTGCATAGAGAATATAAATTGTGTGAAGAGAGAAGCTTTATAGGTATTGTACATCATTGCATTCCAGTACAAAGCCCTATTTCTGGTGTGTGAACAGTTCCAATCTATATTACTAGTTATGTTGCTCTCGTTGCTATTATTATTGAATAAATGAACTAGTGAACATTAGACAACACATATTTTTAAAATATAATAAGAAATATAAAAAATAATTGTATAAAATTAGGCTTAAATGTATGAAGGAATATGTTTTGACAAATGAAATATTTCCTATATTACTATTGGGTAGAACAACTGGTTTAACCCATATCTATGAAAATGTTTCTAGAGAATATTCCATGTCCTTAGTCTCCAGCATTCACTCAGATCCTGTTCACATTATAATGTGGAATTAGAGTCAATTTTGTGCAAATCTGAAATTAGCACTAATAATAATTATTTGCAACAGAACTAACATTTCTCAATAGATTATTATAATAGAGGACCCCAGTATTAATTACAGTGCCTTTTTAGTATCTTGGTATGTGCTGGGTAACATAAATATTAATGTCTATCAGTGTAGCATTCTGTTATTTAAAAAAACATTTTCCTGTGACTTACTGTGTTTTATTTATCAAAACTAGAGATGAAGTAAGCAGTGTAGAAATTTAAATACAATTTAAATAAAATAACAATACTTGAAAAAACTAAGCCTCTGAATTATTAATTATCTAAACTATATCAGTATTCTTTAAAGCAAGAATTTTTAAAATGATATCATTATTCCTCTATTAGTTTGAGAATAATTCCTATTACTGCCCAATGATAACAAATTGTTATGACTGTGGAAGTATATAAATGATCAACAGTGGAAAACATGGTTTATCTTGCATAAAACCATAAACATGCTCAAAATCCCTATTTCATTTTTATGTGTGCTAATGACAACGCATATTTATTCAGCACCATCTTCATTTACAGGTGGATAGGTGAGAACACTCTCCTTCCATATGCCTCCTTTATTTTCTGCAGCGTTCAGCTTACGCTCTGCTGCCTTTGAAAACACATGGATCTTCTGGGGTACTCTCACAGTTCATTTCCCTTTCACCTATAAATTGTAATTTTTGAAAGAGTCTACGGTCTGACTGTTCATCCACAGCCTGTTACTGTATATCATATCATGATTCTTTACTATTAAACAGATTCATAAAATCCTGGGATATTGCTAAGGCCAAATATTTCTTTAAAAAATGTTTTATCTACATAATTTGGAAGTGTCATTTTGCCAATTGGATAGATTTATTTATATAAATACAAAATTAAATACATTTTATTTTTGCTGAAGCATTTTGAAATCAGATATCTGCAACAAAAGCTGTCCACATCATTTATCGATTTGTTGTCTTTTGTACAATGGTAGTTTTATAGAATTAAATGCTTAAGTTAACTTAAGGTTTCAGTTTTCTTGAATATACATCACAGGAATATTTTGTTATTTTATTTTGCAACTGAAGCAAGTGCCCAAAAATGAATCACTATTGTGTCTACATGTCTGACAAATTTTATGATGGGTTCTTGAGGAGTCAGCTAGTATGAAAACTTGTTGGAAGAAGAAGGAAAATTGCTAGTACATGAGATTAAAATGGAATTGAGTAGGAAGCATGTCCTCTGTCAGAGGTTGTATACATGAAGAGAACTGAGTCTGCATCTTATAGTTTTAAGGGATGTTGCATTTACTGAGAAAACTGATGACACAAGATTTCAAGCAGCACTCTTTCACAGGCAAAAGAGACTTCTTCCACGCTTGTGCCAGAAAGCAGCAAATGGACTACCAGAAAAGCAAAGAAAATCATCAGACTTATTCAGAAACTATAATAATCATTATTAAAAGTGTTATTACACAGTACCAGAAAATGGGGCACAAGTTGTTAAGCAGTGTAAGCACAAGGGAACCAAGGTCAGAAAGTTAGGTAGCTGGGTAGGCTTATTAGCATGTGAGAGGAAACTGTTGGAACTCCACAAGTAACTGATGAAGACTTCATCAATGAAACAGACACTGTAATAAGCTACCCTGCACAAATATAAACCCATGAAAATAAAAATTAAACGAGATATAAATATCATGTATTCCATAACTTTGCATCATTGTCAAACACAGTATTTTCTACCTCGTATAGTATTTAACAATGTTGAAATTCAGGGGCATGAAAATTAACCTGATTTCACCTTTCAGTTTCACCACCTATTAGTGTACTCTTGAACCAAATTATTCTTTTTCTCTAACAGTTTATTTATTTGTGAAGTGTTAAAAATCAAATTATATCTATGAGGATGCATTTATTCACATTACATATATTTTAAAAAATGATAATGTAGCTTCGAATATCCAAAGGTGGGACTAAATTCAGGCACATTTTGATTCAAAATTTCACAAAGCAGTCATAGCTCCGCATGTATTTCAATTCTTTGTTCCTCTGAGTTTTGGCTTCAGTCTGAGCCTGGTATTCCTTATGGTAGCAAGAACGTCTTGTCTGAATTTTAGCCCTTAAAATACAATATAGTTCTGTCCCTAGAACAATTTGTATTTTTCCAGGATATGATCTAAATTTACTATTAGACTAGTTAGGGTCAAATGCCTACGCCCGACTAATAATGCATTGTTGTCAGGTAGATACACAATTCTGATTAGGGTAGTCTAGGTAAAGGGCTTCAGCAAGGAGTGAAGCAGCTTCTCTGGAAAAAGATATTTCATTCCTTAAGTGGGTAGAGAGGTACACCAATAAGACAAAGAAGCTAACTGTTGCTAAGAGGACAGCCATCAGTTATCTACCTTACCATCTCATTAGGTTCTTGTGAAAATTAAATGAGATTATGGACGTGGAGTCACATACATGATGTATGATCCCTATGAAGTATTTATCTATAGGTAAGGATAATGACAATAATTTTTATATGTGAATTTAGGATATAGAAATATTAATACATTTTAAGCAGCTAAACCTACTTCTAGAAAACTTAATGAATTGAAGGTTCGTATCTAATTCTGGCCCATTCTTAGTTTAACATTGAAAACTGATTTTTATATGAAAACAAGTGTTATACATATTTTTATAAAGGGATACATATCAAAATATGATATATATAATATATTTGATATATAACTCTTTATCAAATATATAAATTATATATGAAAAATATGAGTGATATATGATTCTGTATCTCATATATAGGATATATGATTCTTATATATGATGATACATGAATCATATATAATTATATATATCATATGATGGGTAAGTTTCATATATCATATGTCAATTATATATATCATTAAAGTAATATATATTATATATATTATTCATGTGTATGTGTGTGTGTAAATATATATATATAAACGTCCACATACTAGCAACTAAGACTGCTAAGAAAAATTGTCTGAAAGAAGAGACAAATAGATCTATGATTTTCTTCAAAGCATTCCTGAGAAGTAAATAGAAGAGACTAGACACTACAGTAATCCTTTTCTAAAGTGAGTGAGACGTGGAAGTGATTGGACAGTCCTGCAGTCACTAAGAACATGTGGCAGCGCACTTATATTGGATGCCACACCAAGAAAGCATACCACACCTTACCTTTACCACACAAAGGAGATTAACAAAATAAAATAATCTCAGTTAACAATGACACGAAACTTAAAACATTTTACATTATGAAAGCAGTGGTTCTGTGGTAATCATCCCTAGAAAGAATTCCATCCTTACTCACTTCAGCAGGTTCTATGAATTGCCAACATAAAACTAGCCTACATTTCAAGAGTTTCCATGAATCTTACTAGTCCTGAAAGATGTGTACAGAAAACAAATTATTAACAAAATTCATCATAATGTTAAATACTGACCAAGCAGAGAATTTACCCTGAAAGAATATATAGAATAAAAAAGCATGTGAAAAAATATTCTTTTAATATAAAAAATCTTGAGGAAGCAGATCAATATTGAATTAATGCAAAAATAAGAATGTTTAGAAAAGTTTTGCAATTTTTATTATCAAAAAATTAGAAGAAATAATAATAAAAGGAGAAATACTTAAATCAGAAAATATTGCATACAGTAAGAAAATATGACTGGCACATTAAACACATGTTGGAGATGGTGAATAATCATGTAATTATGCAACGAAGCAAAGGAATAAAGTTACAAATATTATGAAGATATCTTTTCTGAAAGAAGAGAAATTTAATAATGAAATGAAGTAGGAATGGTAAGGAATAATAAAGATACAGCCAATCCAAAATCTGTATTATAGGGGTTTTGAAAGAAATAAAAAATTCCAAGAATTAAAATAAATTTAAAAAAAAAGAGAATCCCTGATGTGGAAGCAAATTTTAAAAAGCAAATGAATTTGTGTTTCCAAATCAAAAAGCTTCATAAAAAGCAAGACAACATGAATGAGATGTGACCTCACAATTTTGAAAATCTGTTGGTAATATTTAAATTTGAAAGTAAGAACAAAATCTTATTTTCAATTAGAAGAGCAAATAGAGAGAGAGCTAACAGAAACAATCACATTGTCAAATCAGATTCGTACAAATCCAAGATCTTGCCCATAATCAAGCTATTGTAGTAACTTGAAAGAAGCAGGCAAATGAAACTCAAAAACAGCTGAGAGATTTGTGGACATGTTCTGCTTTCACGGAGAATATGTGTGCACTGATATTGGAGGCCACACCAAAAAAAAGCATACCATGTCTTACCATACAAAGGAGGTAAACAAAATAAAATAGTACTAGATAACTCTTAACAGCTATTCTTGCCTGTTCTGTTCTTGCTTGGGACACTCTCTCTGCCATAAAGAAAATAATGTCTAAAGTCTGTGTGTCCCTTCACCAATGGGAATCAATGGGTTATAAAATATCTCCATTTCATAATAAGATTCCTAAATATTTTGTACAATATTTTCTAGGAAATCATATTTTCTAAATTCTTGAGTTTTAGGTTTGTTTACCTTAAGAAATTCAAAACCAAAGATCTTCTGCTAAGAGTATCTTTTTTATTATTTTATTATTATTTCTTTCTTCTTCTTCTTCTTCTTCTTCTTCTTCTTCTTCTTCTTCTTCTTCTTATTATTATTATTATACTTTGAGTTCTGGGACACATGTGCAGAACCTGCAGGTTTGTTACATAGGTGTATACACGTGCCATGGTGGTTTGCTGCACCCAATCATCCTATCATTTACATTAGGTATTTCTCCTAATTCTATCCCTCCCCTACTCCTCCAGCCCCTGACAGGTCCCAGTGTGTGATGTTCTCCTCCCTGTGTCCATGTGTTCTCATTGTTCAACTCCCACTTAGTGAGAACATGAGGTATTTGGTTTTCTGTTCTTGTGCTACTTTGCTGAGAATGATGGTTTCCAGCTTCATCCATGTCCCGGCAAAGGACATGAACTCATCCTTCTCATGGTTGCATAGTATTCCATGGTGTATATGTGCCACATTTTCTTTATCTAGTCTATCACTGATGGCCATTTGGGTTGGTTCCAAGTCTTGGCTATTGTGAACAGAGCTGCAATAAATGTACATGTGCATGTGTCTTTATAGTAGAATGATTTATAATCCTTTGGTTATATACTCAGTGAGGGGATTGCTGGGTCAAATGGTATTTCTGGTTCTAGATCCTTGAAGAATCCCTGCACTGTCTTCCACAATGGTTGAACCAATTTACACTCCCACCAACAGTGTAAAAGCCTTCCTATTTCTCCACATCCTCTCCAGCATCTGTTGTTTCCTGACTTTTTAATATTCACAATTCTAACTGGCATGAGATGGTATCTCATTGTGGTTTTGATTTACATTTCTCTAATGACCAGCAATTATGAGCTTTTTTTCATACGTTTGTTGACTGCATGAATGTCTTCTTTTGAGAAATGTCTGTTCATATCCTTCACCCACTTTTTGATGGGGCTTTTTTTTTCTTGTAAATTTGTTTAAGTTCCTTGTAGATTCTGGATATTAGTTCTTTGTCAGATGGATAGATTGCAAAATTTTTCTCTCATTCTGTAGGTTGCCTATTCAGTCTGATGATAGTTTATTTTGCTGTGCAGAAGCTCTTTAGTTTAATTAGATCCCATTTGTCAATTATGGCTTTTGTTGCCATTGCTTTTGGTGTTTTAGTCATGAAGTCTTTGCCCATGCCTATGTCCTGAATGGTATTGCCCAGATTTTCTTCTAGAGTTTTTATGGTTTTAGGTCTTTTGTTTAAGTTTTTAACCCATATTGAGTTAATTTTTGTCTAAGGTGTAAGGAAGGCATCCAGGTTCAGTTTTCTGCATATGGCTAGCCAGTTTTCCCAACACCATTTATTAAATAGGAAATCATGTCCCCACTGCTTGTTTTTATCAGGCTTGTCAAAGATCAGATGGCTGTAGATGTGTGGCGTTATTTCTGAGGCCTCTGTTCTGCTCCATTGGTCTATGTATCTGTTTTGGTACAAGCACCATGCTGTTTTGGTTACTGTAGCCTTGTAGTATAGTTTGAAATCAGGTAGTGTGATGCCTCCAGCTTAGTTCTTTGTGCTTAGGATTGTCTTGGCTATTTGAGCTCATTTTTTTGTTCCATATGAAATTTAACGGGTAGTCTTTTCTACTTCTGTGAAGAATGTCAGTGGTAGTTTGATGGGTACAGCATTGAATCTATAAATTACTTTGGGCAATATGGCCATTTTCACCATATTGATTCTTCCTATTCCTAAGCATGGAATGTTTTTCCATTTGTTTCTGTCCTATCTTATTTCCTTGATCAGTGGTTTATAGTTCTTCTTGAAGAGGTTCTTCACATCCCTTGTAAGTTGTATTCCTAGGTATTTTATTCTCTTTGTAGCAATTGTTATGGGAGTCCACTCATGATTTGCCTCTCTGTTTGTCTAATATTTGTGTACAGGAATGCTTGTGACTTTTGCAGATTTGATTTTGTATCCTGAGATTTCGCTGAAGTTACTCATCAGCTTAAGGAGATTTTAGGCTGAGACAATGGAGTTTTCTAAAAATACAATCATGTCATCTGCAGAGACAATTTGACTTCCTCTCTACCTATTTGAACACCCTTTATTTCTTTCTCTTGCCTAAGAGTTTTTATAGATAAGGATTCTCCCTCAGTCAATATTGGTAGTCTATGTAGGAGACTGAGTTAACATGTTTGCAAAGTTATTAGACCATCTAGCCCACTTCTTTCCCTAGGAACACTTCCTCAGTATACAGAAGACAGAAGAATCACAGCCCAGCTGCTTTACCTCTTTCCTCCTAAGGCTATTTCCCTTTCTATATATTTTTATTACACAATTTTTTTTCAAAATCTTTTTAAAAACTGCAAGCCAATTAACAACCCAAAGACCACCAGGACTTGAAACTTGGTAGTTTATAAAGAAAAAATATTTAATTGACTCACAGCTTTGCAGGATGTACAGGAGGCATGGCTGGGGGAGGCCTCAGGAAACTTACAATCATGGCCGATGGTGAAGGGGAAGCCAGCATGTCTTACATGGCTTACAGGAGAGAGAGACAGCTAAGGGGAAGGTGCTACACACTTTCGAACAACCAGATCTCATGAGAAATCTATCAGGAGAACAGCAAGGAGAAAGTCCGCCCCCATGATTCAATCAGCTCCCATCAGGCCCTTCATCCAACACTGGGAATTACAATTCCACATGAGATTTGGGTGGGGACACAGAGCCAAACAATATTACCCTCTTTCCCCAAGGTTGCGCCATCTCCAGGGTGTACTGGTGCTGGCTTCCAAGCAGTCAAATGGGCTTTAATCCAGAAAGTCTCACTAGTAAGTCAAGTGGCTAGTTTGACTTTCCTGAGACAGAATCACAGGACTTGGACAGACAGTGATGAACAGGGAAGGTTCTTGGAAGTAAATATCAATCACTTGCCCCTTGCACAGTTAACCTACTCCTGAAAGCAGTATATTCTCCTTGCATTCTGTTACCCTTATTGTGTGTTTTTAACATAAGCCACTTTACAAGTGAACTTCATTGTGGTGCTGCCTCATATTTTTACTATTCATTGTCCATTTTACTTGAACTATTGAATACAGCCTACTATTCTACTCTCATTTCACTCCCAGTGGTAGGGCAAGATCTTGGCCTTTCATTCATTTTTGTTCCCATTCTATGTCTTTAATTAAAGCAATAAATTTAGCACCTTATTTTAGAATTATCTGTTATAAATCATGATTCTTATAATTGGATTTGAATTTTTTCAGACAAAGATATAGAGAGTAAATTTTCCAATGTGCTTAAAAAGTGAGGAGTTGGCTGGATTTGCTTCTTTCACCCATCAGGCTTTGATAATAAGCTGTCAAACCCTTAATATAAAACTCCATATGTTTAGTTTTCAACTGTATTTTTTAAACCCAAATAAATAAATCCACCCAGCTGACCTGGCTGTCATTTTCTAGCCTGCTTTTCATGTCTTCCTGTCCTTTTTCTTTCTAAGGTATAGACTATTTTTCTCCTTATGCAGTTTCTCTGTGCAGATTTTCTTAGTCCTTCTGGGCTGCTATAATAGAATAGTGTAGAGTGGATGGCTTATAAGCAATAGAAATTTATTTCTCACAGTTCTGGACCTGGGAAATCCTGCATCAATGCACTGTCACATTCTGTGTCTCATAAGCACAGTCTTTTCACTGTATGTTTATATGGCAGAATGGACCAGGGAACTCTCCAAAGTCATTTTTATAAAGCCACAAATCTCATTCATAAGGGCTCTATCCTTATGTCTTAATCATTAAAAATGGTCCCACTTCCTCATACCATAGGAGGGTCGGGGGTTAAGATTTCAACATATGAATTTGGGGTGTACAAACGTTTAGTTTGTAGCACGGATTCACTAAAACTCTGCCTGCTGAATATTACTTGAGCTTCCCAAGAGCAAGTTTAGCCAAGGCCACCAAGGTTGAGAAATTCACTGTACTCCACATCTATCAACATCCCTGCCAATGGCATAAAATTAGATTTGCCTCTATGATGATTTTAATGACAATATAAAACCATTGATATTGTTAACATTTCAGCCACTTAGGAGGAAGGATTCTATTAGTGTGTGGAGAAGAATAGGGCAATTTCCCCTGTCAGGGTAGATGTGCCCAACTCTTGCATTTAGCTACTGGTGCAGATTAGCTGGTATATGTGCCTGGAAACTCCTTACCATAAATGTTTTCATTTTTTTCAGGCTTTGTTGGAAACTCAAATAATCCATTCCATTCAGTAGATTTAAAAGTTAGTGATGCATCTTCTGAACATTAATTCTAAGGATATATGCCAATATAATTAACCAGGTTTCTAGCAGTATTATTCTATAACACAATTCAGCTATTTAAAAGGATACTCCATTTATTTCTACAATTAATATATTATGTTTATTGAGTTATCTTGCAAGTAAATTGATACCTCTCTACAGTCATGAAAAACTTAGAAAGTTTTCCAGTGACAAGGAAATTGGTCTTACAAAAAGATTTTTCTCCCGTGTTACCCAATTCTTGTGTTAGACTTATAGGCTGGTTCAGAACCGTTAATAATACCCAAGAACTGAAATCTTGGTACCTTTCCTTAAGCCTTACACTGCCTAACCATCCACTTAGCCACTTCCACTGGGTCTATTTTTCCATATTTTACTTATAAGATTTTCTCACATGAATTTATCTCATCATTTGCCTCATATCAAGGATGAGTAGAGAGTAATTCGTTCACCAGATACTCATGATATTTTTTCACCCCAGCTTTTTTTTTTCTAAAAAGTGCCTTAGCCATTATGATTTATGAGTCTGAGAAGTGTTCTTGTTCACAATGCCAACATTAACTAACACAAAAATTAAATGGTCAAATCTGACAGAAATCATAGATCTTATCTAGTATTATATTTTACTATGAAGCTGAAGAATACAATCATGCAAGAAGCATAAGCAAAGGTGGGAGAGGTCTACCACATCCTGTGTGGCTTCTGTGGTACCTCATTCTCATATTGGATGCATTCCCTGTGGCCTATTTTATGGAGGAATTCACTAAGTGCCATTTGTATGTCACCACATTCAACAGGGAGAGTTGAGGTTATGAAGCTTCTTTTTTTGATACCCAGATGATTTCAGTGATTGTGTGACATTTTTCAGGGAGTTATGCCTAATAAATCCATGGATTTTGTTTTGTTTATTATACACAATCCTAAATGGTGGTCATACTGCTAAGACAAATCCATAGATAATACTCTCCTTCTAGCAAATATCAGTAGTTTGTTTACCAGAAGATCAAGATAGTAGTATATTTACAAGGAGATAAGATCAAGTCACCATTTTTCCCCTATGGCATCTTTCCCCAGCAACTTTTCCTTGTAATTTGGAGATAAATGGATTCCAGACCAGCTGCTTAACTTCTTTCCCCTAAAACTCAGCATGGGTTTAGGTTATTCTGTAAATCTAAAATCTAGAAATTAACAGGAAACATTAGAAAATTGACAGAAATTAAATTTAAACTGATATTCCTAAATCCAAATAATACGTTTTCTATAGACAAGATAATTTATGTTCAAATATAAATACAATAAAATTGCTTCACAAAATTATTTTTCCAAAAAGAAATCACGTAGTTTTTTTTACTAGTATTTATATATCTTTGTTTTCTATTTAAAGTCGTATTTTATCTTATTTTATTTTTTTTACATTTAGTTCCATTTGAGTCTATATGGTGTATGTGGCTGGCAAAAATTCAGTTTCATTGTTAAATGGCTCCCTTTGTCCCTATTATCTTTTATAAAATAGTCTTAATGCCATTGATTTGAAATAATCTGTATTTCTAGTCTATTCCATTGGTTTTAATATTTGCTCATAAAAAATACAAAAACTTTTTTTTGAGATAGGGTCTTGTCATGTTGCCAAGGCTGAAGTGCAGTGGCTATTCACAGGTGCAATCATATTACACTGTACCTCAAACTCCCTGCCTCAGGAAATCCTCCCACCTCAGCCTCATGAGTAGCTACCCATAAGTAAGCACTACAGGTGTACACCACCACACCTGGCTTCCAAATAATTTTTATTATGGGGTATATTATAGTCTACTTGGATTGCTATAACAAAGGCTGGATGACATCAACAACAACAAAAAATTTTCTTTTCTCAGTTCTGTAAGTTGGAAAGTCCAGTATAAAGGTGCTAGTCGATTTAATTACTGATGATGCCTTTCTCCCTGGCTGCAGATGCCACCTTCTCACTATGGCCTCACATCATCTTTCCTGAGTGTATGTAAACATGCATACACAAATACACACACACAGAGTACTTTGTTAACTCTTCTTACGAGGACAAAAATTCCATCTAATCAGGTCCCTATCCTTATCAACTCATTTAACCTTAATGACTTTCATAAATGTCCAATCTCCAAACATACTCACACTGAAGTTTAAGGCCTTGACATATTAATTTTTGAGAAACACAAATATTTTGCTTATAACATGAGGTATGTATTATATATGTATATTTTATTATCTAGTAGAGATGCTACCAAGCGCTTATTGTAACACATTTGATATGGTTTGGCCCTGTGTCCCCACCCAAATTTCATGTGGAATTGTAATCCTCATGTTGAGGGAGGAATCTGAGGTAGGTGATTGGATCATTGAGGTGGTCTTCCCTCATGATGTTCTTTTAATAGTGTGAGTTAGTTCCCATGGGATCTGATGGTTTTAAAGTGTGTAGCAATTCCTCCTTCTTTTTCTCTCTCCTGCCTCCATGTGGAGATGTACTTGCCTCCCCTTCATCTTCTGCCATGATTGTGAGTTTCCTGAGGCCTCCCCTGCCATGCCTTCTGTATAGACTGAGGAAATGTGAGTCAAGTAAATTTCTTTTCTTCATGAATTACCAGGTTTCAAGTAGTTCTTTATAGCAATGTGAGAATGGACTAATACAACATTATTTTAGTTATTCTTGCTGTATTCATATATTTTCTCATATGAATACTATAATCAATTTCTCTCATCCATAAAAAGCATAGGTTTATAATCAATTAAGTGTAAATAACATAACCAATAAAGCATTTCATATATTTGTATGTACAGTTGATCGTTGAACAACACATGTTTGAACTGTGAAGGTATACTTTCATGGGGATTTTCTCCTGCCTCTGCCACTACTGATACAGCTAGGCTGACCCCTTCTCTTCTTCAGCCTACTCGACATGAAGATGATGAGAATGAAGACCTTTATGATGATCTACTTTCACTTAATGAATAGTAAATGTATTTTCTCTTCTTATGATTTTCTTAATGACATCTTATTTTCTCTGTCATAGTTTATTGTAAGAATGTAGTATATAATACATATAACATAAAAAATACATGTTAATCTACTGACTATAAGTTATCAGTAACGTTTCCAATCAACATTAAGCTATTAGGAGTTAAATTTGGGTGGAGTCAAAAATTTGACTCAGATTTTTAACCAGGAATTGCAGGGGATGGGTCACACTCCTAACCCCCACGTTGTTCAAGGGATTAGGAGCATGTTGTATCTACATTTATATGTGGTTGTTTTTCTATCTCAGATGTTTAACCATGAATCGCATGGGGCAAGTAAGTGCTCCCAACCCCCATGTTTTTCAAATGAGTTAGGAGCACTTTGTATTTACATTTATATGTGGCTGCTTTTCTATAATAAAAATACAACTTCTACTATAGTTTGAATATATCCCCCAAAACTCATGTGTTGTAAACCTAATCCCCAATGCAATAGTGTTGCAAGTTAAAGCCTGATGCGAAGTGATTAGAATATGAAGGCTCCTTCCTCACGAATGGAAATACTATTGTCTCAGGGGTGGTTTTATCATGGGAGTGGGTTCCTTAAAAATAATGAGTTTGGCCATTTTGTCTTTCTCTTTTACCCTGTTTCCCCTTTTGTCATGGGATGACAAAGCATGAAGACCCTCACCAGATACCAGCAATTTGATATTGAACTTTCCTTAGAACTGTGAGAAACAATTATTTTGTAAGTTACCCAGTCTATGATATTCTGTTATAACAGCACAAAATGAGCTCAGACACTTCTGGTCCAGGAGAAGTGGACATTTTTAAAAGAAAACTTGTATTGAATCATTTTTTAAAAGGTCACAGTAGGAACTGCAAAGTAAAATTAAGAAAATACAGTTTATGGTCAAAACAAAATAAAAGAGACATTAATAATAATAAAAAGGACTTTCCATTCTCAGGCATTTTAAGTCAAAGGCAAAATAAAAATAAAAAGTTACATTAAAATAATGTAAATGAAATAATACATCTTAGAATTTATGACATACAATAGAGAGTACTGTTTAACATTTCTGTAAACAAAATTTTAAAATAAGAAATTAATCAAATAATCACTTAAAATACTTGAAACTTCAACAAAGTAAAGCAAAAGAAAGCAGAAATTGAAGATAGTATAAAATTCAAAAATTAATAAGTTAAAATGCCCATAAAATTGAACTGCTTAAGGAATAAACATTATAAATATGTTTTTCAATATCCAAAATTGACACACCACTCACTAACCTAATGATGAAATAAGAAGAATTGTAAATGTAAGAAACTATAAAGGAGAAATAATCACTGGAATAAAAATAATTTAAAATATATACAGGAGGTATTTATTTCTAAATTTGTGTAAATAATTTTTAAAATATTTTGAAGATATAATTTCTTAGAAAATACTGTTTCTCCAAATTACCCCAAATTAACATTTTAATAAATCAATTTCCGAGAAAAGAATAGAGAAAATATTTTAAAAACCAGCCCACAAAAATGCAACAGTTCCCAGGAATTGTACCAAACATTCAAAATCCCTAATGCTGTGCTCTAACTTAGTTTAAGACATATAAAATGCTATGCCTATCTTGTTCTGAGATATTCATGGAAATGATTCTTCAACAAAACAAAGCAAACAAAACATAAATCATTAAATAATCAAAGAAAAGCCAAAAGCTCCTTCTAGAGTACTTGGAATCATAATCTTATCATGAGAAAAAAAAATGATGTTCACTATTTGGGAGTACAACTAAAAATAATAATATTTGAATACTAGTAAAGAATTTCAAGGAATATTAAAAATAAATGTAAATTATTTTTAGTAGTTTGGAGCCTTAATTCTACTTTTAAGTTATTGCATCACATAAAGACAAACACACACAGAGATGCATACAATAACAGTTCACACCTATACACAACACAAGTACACAATTCACAATTCAGGAAGAAACAATTCACATGTCTTAGAGTGAACAATATCAAACAATGCCAAATAAAATTTTGAGTGTTTCAGTAAATAGCATTATCAGTTAAAGAATATAAAATACAAAATCAATGTTTTGTTTCTCTGAAATCTAAATACATGAACAAAAGACAAGATAATATACAATACAAGATAGATTTGTATATAAGACAAATAGTAAATTTAAAAATAAAAACAAAATATGGAAAGTAAAATTTGAATTGATTTACACAGCAACTTGTACACAGAGAAAAATTAAATTACCCAGCTTAAATGCATATCTGAAGAAATTATATGGAATTAAGTTGGAATACAAAATATAGCAACTATTTTAAAAAATTAATAGTTACATAGATTAAAATTAAAAGTTATAAGATACATCTAATCTTGAGTTGCAGACAGAAGGAGTAGAGATGTGGGGAGGTAGTGCTCAAATAAATAATGTCTTAAAATTTTCCAAAAATATTAAAGTAAGGCATCCTTAACTCCAGAATCACAATAAATTATAGACAAGGAAGTACAAGAAATACACACTTAAATACAGGAAAATAAAAGTCAAAACCTTATGTAAAACAGAATACCTCATAAACAGCTAATGAGAAAGATGACATCAAACAGAATGCCAATTGCACTACTGATAGATTCCTCACCTCAGCAATGAAGTAGCTTATCTTTACAGTCTCAAAACAAATGAATTGTACATTGAGTTGAATTTTCTGTAAAGTTTTTTTTTAGTTACAAAATAAAGATATATTCAAAAAACAAAACTTCAAAGTTTGACACATCAACATTCACTAAAAGAAACTTCTAAATTATGTCAACGTATTTTCAGTGGCTCTTGACATAAATTTAGCCCACTTCCGATTTCAATTGTACTCCTATTGAAAAATTCCCTGGGTAGTCACATTGGCTTGACAGTTGCAACCCTTGGCACTAGACTTAACTGCTCTCTGCTTTCTTCTTTCGGGCATTTTCTGTGGAGTTTTCTGCATGTACAGGCAAACACAGCCAGAAATGAGTATCTTCAGAGCCAAACCTCAATCAAGAGAAATGGAAGCTTATAGACGAATGACGAGACAGTTCTGGGAGGACTTCTGCAATCTCAGTAGCAATTGTGACCCTTTCCTAACTCTCTTGGCTCCTTCAATCCTATTTTAGGGGATAGTGTCCCAAACTGCTTATACACTCCCCCTTTCTCAAGCTCTAATTTTGGAGGCCTCAAAATTAAAATGGCTTGAGTTATTAATCTGTAATAATACATATGTCTAAACTGGAAAACTGTAATATCCCCAGAATTACCATTTGGGGGTAGGATTTACTTCTTGAACCTAATTCTTTTTGTTTTGAAGCAGCTATGTTGAGAGAAAATTGAATTCCTACCAATTCCCTCAGTTACATGAGTTCAAACTCCCCATGAAAGTTTTGGATGTACTTAACTGCAACCTTTGTGAGGACACCTATCGGGAGCACAATTTCACCTGAGTCCAGGGTAATACAATGGCCTCTCTCAAAGAAGACTTAAAGAGTAGCTAAGATGTTGCTACATAGAGAACATTTATTTCCTAATTCAGCTTCTTGGAAACAAATAAGCCTCACTGTGGTTGCCACTAGAAAACTCAGCAAGAATTCTGCTAGATGGAGTGTTTTAAGTTGGAACCATTTACGAGTTGTTCGTCATATTTCCATTTTTTTCTTCCGAGAATGGGCTACTAAAAAATGGCCACTCAATCTAGAGAAATATTCATCTTACAAACAAAATGTTGACTTCATATGTGTGATAGTTAATATTATATATCAACCTGACTGAGCCATTGGGTGTCCAGATATTTGGTCAAACCTTATTCTCGGTATTTGGGGAGAAGAGTAACATTTTAAATCAGTAAACTCAATAAAACATTGCAATTTATAACGTGGGTGGTCCTCATCCAATTAGTTAAAGGCCTAAATAGACTTTTAAAAAAATGTCTGACTCTCCTGTGAATAAGAGAGCACTCCTCTGCCTGGCTGCTTGAGGTGAGACATCTGTCTTACCTTGACTTCAGAATAGAACTGAAATATGGCTGGGCGCGGTGGCTCACGCCTGTAATCCCAGCACTTTGGGAGGCCGAGGCGGGTGGATCACGAGGTCCGGAGATCGAGACCATCATGGCTAACAGGGTGAAACCCCGTCTCTACTAAAAATACAAAAAATTAGCCGGGCGTGGTGGCGGGTGCCTGTAGTCTCAGCTACTTGGGAGGCTGAGGCAGGAGAAAGGTGTGAACCCGGGAGGCGGAGCTTGCAGTGAACCGAGATTGCACCACGGCACTCCAGCCTGGGCGACAGAGCGAGACTCCATCTCCAAAGGAAAAAAAAAAAAGAACTGAAATATTTGTTCTTCGACTTCAAACCTTCCAACTGCATTATTGTCTCCGCAGCTTGCCAACTGCAGAGCTTATGTCTCCTCAGCCTCCAAAATTGCAATTGCATATCCATTTCTTAAGTCCGTGTATGTTTGTGTGTGTCTGTGTGTGCATGTGTGTATACGGCTGGTTCTGTTTCTCTGGAGAACCCTAAGTAATACTGATTTTGGTACCAAGAAGTGGGGGTACTTCTGTAACAGATATCTAAACATGTGGAAGGAACGTTGAAACTGGGTAATGGGTAGAGGCTGGAAGAGTTTTAAGGTGAGGCTAGAAATATGGATATAAAGGAGAATTTTTGTGAAACCTCAGAAGGTAATGAGGATCATGTTATTCAAAACAATAGGAAAGGTGATCCTTGTTGTAAAGTGGCAAAGATCTTGAATGAACTATGTTCTAGTGTTTTGTGAAGGTAAAAGTTGTGACCAAATGATTAAATTGGACATTTAGCTAAATAAGTTTCCAAGCAAAGTGTTAAAAGAGCACCTTTGTTCCTCCTAACTACTTATAGTAAAATGAAAAAGGGGAAAGATAATTTGAAAATAAAATTGTTAAACAGAAAGTAACCAAAACCTGAAGTTTTCAAAAATTTTCAGCCTATGCATATTGGAGAAAATGAGAAAGTGTGTTTTTAGTTTGAAGGGAACATTGTGGGTGTGGCTGAACAACCATTTGGTAAAGACATCCTGGGTGCAACTCAGGGACCGAAACATTGATCTCAGCAGAAGCCAGGAGTAGAGCCGAGACTCTATTCTACTACTAAAAGCATTGCCAGGTGAAACTAAAGGGGACAGACAAAGTAAGACCCAACAAAGGGAGGCCATTGACTTTCCTGGATTCTGTAAGACCAGATCATGAAGCTATTTATTTGGATTCAAATGTGTGCTACTCTTTAATAAAAGAAAATAATAACCTTGAAGTGACTGAGAGGTCATCAGGGCTGCCATTCCCACCACAATCCCAAGGGCAAGACTATTTTCTCCCTGGTTTCAGAGGGCAAGACCTTTGCAGAGAGTCAAAATGTGGGATCCCCTCTCAGTACCATTGGGGTGATGCTGCCACACCAGTGAGCCTGAAGGGTAGAGTATTCAACCAAAGAGAATTATTATTAAGCCTTAATCTTTAATGAAATTTGCTTTACTATGTTTTAGAGTTACTTGGAATCCATCAGCCTTTTCTTTCTTCCAGGTTTTCCCTTTTGGAATGAAAATATTTGTTTTATGTCTGTCCACCTTTGTATTTTGGAAGCACCACAACTTGTCTTGTTTCACAGCTAGAGATGAATTTTTCCTCAGAATGAATTATACCCAGACTTTTACCCTTATGTTATTTACATGATATATAGATGAGAAATTGAACTTCAGACTTTAGACTTGATACTGAAAGAAGGTAAGACTTTAGGGTTGTTTGGGATGGTATTATATGAATGTATTTTGCATGTCAGAAAAACATGAATTTTGTCAGGGCCAGGGGCACAATGTTATGGACTGAATTTTGTCTGTTTTAAATTCACATGTTCAAGCCCTAACCCCCATGTGAATATACCAAAGATAGGGGCTCTAAAGAGGTGATTAAGATTAAATTACATTTTAAGGGTGGAGCTCTGATCTGACAGAACATTTGCCTTTATAAGAAGAGAATGATACAGCAGAGCGCTCGCTCTTCAAGTGCATTTTCTGGGGAAAGTACATGTGAGGAAATAGCAAAAGGTGGCTTTCTGCAAGCCAGGAAGAGAGCCCTCACCAAGAACAAACACCTTGATCTTAGACTTCCCAGCCTCTAGAACTGAGAGAAAAAAATAATCAGTTAAGTCACACAGTCTGTAGTATTTTGTTATGGCAGCTCAAGTAAACTAAGCTGATGGGTTTTATAGCCACATGAATCCCCACCTCTGGTATCCAAGAAACCTCTGCCTGGGTGCATTATGATAGTCATGATGAGGAGTAGAAGAGTTACTCAAAAATAGCAGTTAAATATATGAGGGGCCTTGAATACTACTGGAAATTACTAATGTTAATATAAACTATCACTGTCAGTTTCAGTGGGTGTCAGGAACTCCTGTAATTAGGAGGATTTGACAGTTGATGGGGAAACTGCTGGTAGTCCTAGCCATAGAGGGTCTGATTTGGGAAATGTTTGTCAAATGTGTCTACATCTGTCAGGAAAGACTGCTATCAAGAACAGCCTGTAGAACAAAGCATATTCTGTACCTTCAATTCTAGAGAAAAAGTGATTGAATAATGAAGGTATTAAAATGCTGAGGACTGGAGAATGTTTAATTTGTAAAAGTTAACATTTTGGTGATGTGGTAAGTCCATTGAAATATCTGAAGCAGTCCATCACAGAGAAGGTGTTAACAGTGTTCTACTGTTTCTCAAGGAATACGATTAGAATACATGGGCACAAACTTCAGGAAGACAAATAATTGCTCAGTACAATAACTTTTTAATTTTTTTAACTTGCAAAGCTGTCCAAAATTGAATGACATTTTGAAATAACTTTAGGCTTTCAGAAAAGTTGACAACATGTACAGAACTCTGTACATTTTTTTCACCAAGATTTCCCAGTGTTAACATTTTGCAATATCAGAGTACAGTGATAAAAATCAATAACTAAATAAATGAATACATAAATAAATAAAATTAACGTTGGTAGAATCTACTAAACTACTGACTTTATTTTAATTTCACCTGCTTTCTCCACTGAAGTCTTTTTTCTGTTACAGGATCTAATTTAGAATACAATGCATTGCATTTTCTTTCTATGAGCAAATGACTTTCAATATCTGTTAAAGCCTTATTATGTTGTTACTCAAGACACAAATTAATACTTTTTTGGTGTTAGCTTTATCTGTCATTATAATAATTACACATTAGTTAGTTACAACTATTTTGTAATAAGTCAAGTTAAAATTCATTTGGATAGATCACTTTGGAGTTTTGAGTAAATGGCATATTCAAATTGCTACAAAAGATATTGGCAAGAACCTACTTATGCACAGTTCTCCAAGATGCTATATTTCGGATGAGACCATAGTGATTGAAATATTAATAGTAAGGAAGTACCCATGCACAAAACCTTGCATGAGTCTAAATATATACCACCAGAAATTGGACTTTAAATCCTAATTTTATGCATCTTGAAGAATATAAACGTGTTTTATACTTCTGCTTAACAACTAGTCAGACTGTTAACTACACCTGACTCAGGCAATTATGGGTGATACAGATAGGTGGGGAAGTTTATTAAATATCCTGCTGATAATATATTTTTAAAATCTTTATTCTTTAATGGTTATTATCAAACATTTCTGTCCAAGAACTTGAATTGTTCATTTGTCACCAATCCTATAGATTTAAATATCATTGCCTTTTAATCAGTGTCCTTGTTGGGTAGATGGAAGTACATAGAGCATGGAAGACACTTAAAATACAGAATTCGTGCAATATGCCTTGAAATTCCTAATGCCCATTTGAATTGAAAATGTTAGATTTGGAGTTGTTTGTCTTGTTTATGTCATTTTAATTTTTCCTTAAATTGGAATGATTGTGCTTTCATGATCAGGGAACAAACTAGTTCTGCAGAATAAAAGATGTGAACTCTATAATTCAGAATCATTATTTTCTTATTTTCCCCCCACATGATTTACATACGTATGATTGTTCCAGAGAATTTAGGGAAGTCTCTACTCTTCCTAAAGTTTCCTCTTGTCTTTTTTGTTTACACATTCTGGGTCATGATATGTCTATTGCCATTTCAGTGGTGGCAATGCTATCAACCGAAGCAAGAGGACATATCAAGATGAAACTGAGAATCATGGAGTGACATGGCCATTGGGCTCAGCCACTCATATCCATGTAGAGAGCTGTTTTCTAGTCATTCTACTTTGATAAGTCTGTGTTCTGTTCAAATGATTTCTGTTATAATAGTTATTTGGCTATTATAACATTGACATTGAGGTAGACTTAGCTAAAAGTTGATCATGAAAAAAATACTGAGAAGAGTATAGTTTTCTCTTATTTAAATAGTCATAACTTTTAAAATATAGTCTGGCTGGGCGTAGTGGCTCATGCCTGTAATCCCAGCACTTTGGGAGGCCGAAGCAGGCGGATCACCTGAGGTAGGGAGTTCAAGACCAGCCTGACCAACATGGAGAAACCCGTCTCTAATAAAAGTACAAAATTAGCCCGGCATAGTGGTGCATGCCTGTAATCTCAGCTACTTGGGAGGCTGAGGCGGGAGAATCACTTGAACCTGGGAGGCAGAGGTTGTGGTGAGCCGAAATCACGCCATCACACTCCAGCCTGGTGACAGAGTGAGACTCCGTCAAAAAAAAAAAAAAGTCTGATTAGAAGCATGTTAAGATTTTCTAAATAACTTTTATTGAAAAGGAAAATATAATTGAACCAAAGATAACCAGATTCCACACTGACTGGATCTTACATGAAAGTATCCTTGTAGAAGTTAAACTCCCAATGTTTTCTATAAAAATCTTGAGCGAAATAGAGTTCTTAGGCTCTAGCCCTGTTCTGATGCATAGAAGATGTAGAGGAGAAAATTATTACTATTATTATTATTATTATTATTATTTGAAACGTAATCTCATTCTGTTGCCCAGGCTGGAGTGCAATGGCATGATCTCTGCCCACTGCAACTTCCGCTTCCCGGGTTCGAGTGATTCTCCTGCCTCAGCCTCCTGAGTAGCTGGGATTACAGGCGTGCACCACCATGCCCAGCTAATTTTTGTATTTTTAGTAGAGACGAGGTTTCACCATGTTGGCCAGGCTGGTCTCGAACTCCTGACCTCAAGTGATCCACCCATCTTGGCCTCCCAAACTGTCGGGATTACAGGTGTGAGCCACCATGCTCGGCCTATAGAGAAAATTATACAGGGTCAGAGTTCTCCAGAACTGCTGTAGTTTACACACTGAACTATAAATATTTCTTGCCCTATTACTGTGAGAATAAAGACAGGAGATCAGTTGTTTATAGATGCCTTTAATTATTTATTACTTAAAATAAATAACCTTCTAATATTTTAGTTGATGTCCACAAGTAGTCTCTCTCCAAAGAGAGACTAAGGTGTTTTTGACAAATTTTTCACCTGATTTATTCAGGCCCACCTAGGATAATCTCCCTTCCAATTGAGTAAATCAGATCATTCAGTATATCTTCCAAATTTAAATCACCTGACTGGGGCCTTCAGTGGACAAAGTGTGTCTCCCCAAAATTTATATGTCAAAAATCCTACACCTGTAATGTGAGGGTATTAAGAAGTAGAGCCTTGGGATGTGATTAGGTAATGATCATAGAGCCCTTATAAAAGATGTAAGTATCCATATAAAAAGAACCTCAGGAGATCTTTTCCCGCTTTACTGCATCTGAAGATACATTGAAAGGCCAACAATCTGTAATCCAAAAAACAATCCTCATCAGAACCTGACCATGCTGATACTCTGATATGAGACTTATCTCTCCAGAACCCATGAAAAATACATTTCTCTTGTTTATAACTTATCCAGTCTAAGTCATATTTGGTCAGAAAATAGAACAAAGACAAATATTTTATTTACAAGTGTAAAATTTCTTCCAGAAGCACATAGGTTAATGTTTGATTAATTAGGAAATGCAGTTCAGCCTAATTAACTTGATATATCAAAAAGCCATCACTCTGAGATACAGTTTTTAGAAAATGTAACATGTGTTATATAACTGATATAAAATGGAGATGTTCATGATTAAGATGGTCTTTCTTTGTAAGTGGAAAGACCACATGCATTGCTTGAAGACCTTATGTATTAAATCTAATGTAATAAGAAGGAACCTGCGGTTTTACACTGATAATCCCAGAATTATGAAAACTTCCTCCTAGTCTCTTGATTACCTGTACCCTTGAAATGATTGACAAAATTTGACATTAAGATATCTGATTTTTGTAAGTTGATCTAACAATCTAACCCTAAGTTATCTCAGTTTTGTGAATTTATATAAACTAAGTTTAGTAAGGGGGCAGTGATATAAAATAATAGAAAAATATACTAGTTGGACACTTACTTTTGGCACTTCCAGGTCTTCTTACTTGGCCCTGCTTTCATCCTCCAGCCAGCAAATGAGGAAATCAGATACCACACAGCTCAGGAGCATAAGGAGCTAAGAAATTCTGGAAGATATATAAATTGGGCCCCCAAAGAGAAGATTTTCCCCAAATTCTCTCCGTAGTTGTGCATTTGCCTTAATCACATAATAACTATACTCAATACCTTAATAAGTTGTAAATCATATGGTTGATATTATTATGAAGACCAAAAGGAAATTAAACATTTTAAACACTAAAATTTTTGAATTGAGGACTAAAAATAATATTCACATATTTTGCCCAATATTATTTTCTAATAAACAGAAGATAGTCATAGAAACCATTTTGTTTAAGGGCCTTTGATCTGTAAGAAATTTAATGACATTCGATAAAGCAGATAGTTGTACACCTTAGCTATTGTATAAGGATATTTATATATACTACTTCATGCCCGCGACGTGGAACAATTACCCAAACTTTAAGGCCTTGGATCCAAATCTTCAAGTTGACCTTCCATATTTCTTCATTAAACAATATGATCTTATAACTAGGTATGTTACTTAACTTCTATCTAAGATGTTCAAATAAACCCATTCTCAAGAGTGATTTAAGACATAAGATGCATATTTATATCCTTTAGTTTCCAAATTTTGAAGGCCGAGGGAATTTTAAGGGTTGGTAATACAACTTTTTTTTGACAGATCCATTTACTTTCTCATTACCAATTACTTCTGTGAGATAATTTACTCCTAATATGGCATCCTTATGCATAATCACAAGCTCCTCTGTGCTTCTGTTTTCTTGGCAATGGAGTTAGAGTTAGCAACTTCTTCCAAAAGTAGTCATCTGAAACCACAGCTTAAAGGCTCCCATATTTTCATTTTGTATGTCTTCTGGACAGTTCTTGAGCCCCTTTGTCTTCTCATAAAACAGTTCTAGCTGAAGGATCCTGATTTGATAGGTCTCTGTGGTGAATACTGGAACTATAATACCTCACTTCTTCTCCAAAGCTGTTCATTAAGATAATAGCTTTTTAAGAAACTAGAAAATGATCTATTATTAAACTCCATGTATGTGCCTTCTTTCTCTATACCACTTCTCCAGTTCTGTTCTTCCTAAAATTTGCCTGTACTGTTGAAATAGTTTTTCAGAGGTCCACATAAAAACCTCCATTTTGAAGATTTGTTAGAAGGACTCATGAGACTCAGGATATAATTGTACTCATGGCTAAGGTTTATTATAAAGACTGAGTAGGAATACATACCCAGATCATAAGGGAAAAAGACATGAGTGGATTCTGGAGGAAGCAGATGACCTTATGCTGCCTGCTTCCTGAGAGTGGCCATACAGAGCACATTCTTCCTTAATCAGTGAAAATGCAGTAACAGGGGTTGGATGGTTTTTCCTAGGGAACCCATTAGAGACTCAATGCTAAGGTTTTGAAAGGCTGTGAGGGGAGGAGCCAAGATGGCTGAATAGGAACAGCTCCGGTCTATAGCTCCCAGCATGAGCGACGCAGAAGACGGGTGATTTCTGCATTTCCATCTCAGGTACCGGGTTCATCTCACTAGGGAGTGCCAGACAGTGGGCGCAGGTCAGTGGGTGCACGCACCGTGCGCGAGCCGAAGCAGGGCGAGGCATTGCCTCACTTGGGGTCAGGGAGTTCCCTTTCCTAGTCAAAGAAAGGGGTGATGGACGGCACCTGGAAAATCGGATCACTCCCACCCGAATACTGCGCTTTTCCAACGGGCTTAAAAAACAGCGCACCACGAGATTATATCCTGCACCTGGCTGGGCGGAGGGGTCCTACGCCCACGGAGTCTCGCTGATTGCTAGCATAGCAGTCTGAGATCAAACTGCAAGGCAGCAGCGAGGCTGGGGGAGGGGCGCCCGCCATTGCCCAGGCTTGCTTAGGTAAACAAAGCAGCCAGGAAGCTCCAACTGGGTGGAGCCCACCACAGCTCAAGGAGGCCTGCCTGCCTCTGTAGGCTCCACCTCTGGGGGCAGGGCACAGACAAAGAAAAAGACAGCAGTAACCTCTGCAGACTTAAATGTCCCTGTCTGACAGCTTTGAAGAGAGCAGTGGTTCTCCCAGCATGCAGCTGGAGATCTGAGAACAGGCAGACTGCCTCCTCAAGTGGGTCCCTGACCTCTGACCCCCGAGCAGCCTAACTAGGAGGCACCCCCAAGCAGGGGCACACTGACACCTCACACGGCAGGGTACTCCAACAGACCTGCAGCTGAGGGTTCTGTCTGTTAGAAGGAAAACTAACAAACAGAAAGGACATCCACACCAAAAACCCATCTGTACATCACCATCATCAAAGACCAAAAGTAGATAAAACCACAAAGATGGGGAAAAAACAGAACAGAAAAACTGGAAACTCTAAAAACCAGAGCGCCTCTCCTCCTCCAAAGGAACGCAGTTCCTCACCAGCAACAGAACAAAGCTGGACAGAGAATGACTTTGACGAGCTGAGAGAAGAAGGCTTCAGACGATCAAATTACTCTGAGCTACAGGAGGACATTCAAACCAAAGGCAAAGAAGTTGAAAACTTTGAAAAAAATTTAGAAGAATGTATAACTAGAATAACCAATACAGAGAAGTGCTTAAAGGAGCTGATGGAGCTGAAAACCAAGGCTCGAGAACTACGTGAAGAATGCAGAAGCCTCAGGAGCCGATGCGATCAACTGGAAGAAAGGGTATCAGTGATGGAAGATGAAATGAATGAAATGAAGCGAGAAGGGAAGTTTAGAGAAAAAAGAATAAAAAGAAATGAGCAAAGCCTCCAAGAAATATGGGACTATGTGAAAAGACCAAATCTACGTCTGATTGGTGTACCTGAAAGTGATGGGGAGAATGGAACCAAGTTGGAAAACACTCTGCAGGATATTATCCAGGAGAACATCCCCAATCTAGCAAGGCAGGCCAACGTTCAGATTCAGGAAATACAGAGAATGCCACAAAGATACTCCTCGAGAAGAGCAACTCCAAGACAAATAATTGTCAGATTCACCAAAGTTGAAATGAAGAAAAAAATGTTAAGGGCAGCCAGAGAGAAAGGTCGGGTTACCCTCAAAGGGAAGCCCATCAGACTAACAGCGGATCTCTCGGCAGAAACCCTACAAGCCAGAAGAGAGTGGGGGCCAATATTCAACATTCTTAAAGAAAAGAATTTTCAACCCAGAATTTCATATCCAGCCAAACTAAGCTTCATAAGTGAAGGAGAAATAAAATACTTTACAGACAAGCAAATGCTGAGAGATTTTGTCACCACCAGGCCTGCCCTAAAAGAGGTCCTGAAGGAAGCGCTAAACATGGAAAGGAACAACTGGTACCAGCCGCTGCAAAATCATGCCAAAATGTAAAGACCATCGAGACTAGGAAGAAACTGCATCAACTAACGAGCAAAATCACCAGCTAACATCATAATGACAGGATCAAATTCACACATAACAATATTAACTTTAAATGTAAATGGACTAAATGCTCCAATTAAAAGACACAGACTGGCAAATTGGATAGTCAAGACCCATCAGTGTGCTGTATTCAGGAAACCCATCTCACGTGCAGAGACACACATAGGCTCAAAATAAAAGCATGGAGGAAGATCTACCAAGCAAATGGAAAACAAAAAAAGGCAGGGGTTGCAATCCTAGTCTCTGATAAAACAGACTTTACACCAACAAAGATCAAAGAGACAAAGAAGACCATTACATAATGGTAAAGGGATCAATTCAACAAGAAGAGCTAACTATCCTAAATATATGTGCACCCAATACAGGAGCACCCAGATTCATAAAGCAAGTCCTGAGTGACCTACAAAGAGACTTAGACTCCCACACATTAATAATGGGAGACTTTAACACTGCACTGTCAACATTAGACAGATCAATGAGACAGAAAGTCAACAAGGATACCCAGGAATTGAACTCAGCTCTGCACCAAGCGGACCTAATAGACATCTACAGAACTCTCCACCCCAAATCAACAGAATATACATTTTTTTCAGCATCACACCACACCTATTCCAAAATTGACCACATAGTTGGAAGTAAAGCTCTCCTTAGCAAATGTAAAAGAACAGAAATTATAACAAACTATCTCTCAGACCACAGTGCAATCAAACTAGAACTCAGGATTAAGAATCTCACTCAAAACTGCTCAACTACATGGAAACTGAACAACATGCTCCTGAATGACTACTGGGTACATAAGGAAATGAAGGCAGAAATAAAGATGTTCTTTGAAACCAACGAGAACAAAGACACAACATACCAGAATCTCTGGGACGCATTCAAAGCAGTGTGTAGAGGGAAATTTATAGCACTAAATGCTCACAAGAGAAAGCAGGAAAGATCCAAAATTGACACCCTAACATCACAATTAAAAGAACTAGAAAAGCAAGAGCTAACACATTCAAAAGCTAGCAGAATGAAAGAAATAACTAAAATCAGAGCAGAACTGAAGGAAATAGAGACACAAAACACCCTTCAAAAAAATAATGAATCCAGGAGCTGGTTTTTTGAAAGGATCAACAAAATAGATAGACCGCTAGCAAGACTAATAAAGAAAAAAAGAGAGAAGAATCAAATAGACGCAATAAAAAATGACAAAGGGGATATCACCACCGATCCCACAGAAATACAAACTACCATCAGAGAATACTACAAACACCTCTACGCAAATAAACTAGAAAATCTAGAAGAAATGGATAAATTCCTCGACACAGACACTCTTCCAAGACTAAACCAGGAAGAAGTTGAATCTCTGAATAGACCAATAACAGGAGCTTAAATTGTGGCAATAATCAATAGCTTACCAACCAAAAAGAGTCCAGGACCAGATGGATTCACAGCTGAATTCTACCAGAGGTACAAGGAGGAACTGGTACCATTCCTTCTGAAACTATTCCAATCAATAGAAAAAGAGGGAATCCTCCCTAACTCATTTTATGAGGCCAGCATCATCCTGATACCAAAGCCGGGCAGAGACACAACCAAAAAAGAGAATTTTAGATCAATATCCTTGATGAACATTGATGCAAAAATCCTCAATAAAATACTGGCAAACCGAATCCAGCAGCACATCAAAAAGCTTATCCACCATGATCAAGTGGGCTTCATCCCTGGGATGCAAGGCTGGTTCAATATACGCAAATCAATAAATGTAATCCAGCACATAAACAGAGCCAAAGACAAAAACTGCATGATTATCTCAATAGATGCAGAAAAGGCCTTTGACAAAATTCAACAACCCTTCATGCTAAAAACTCTCAATAAATTAGGTATTGATGGGACGTATTTCAAAATAATAAGAGCTATCTATGACAAACCCACAGCCAATATCATACTGAATGGGCAAAAACTGGAAGCATTCCCTTTGAAAACTGGCACAAGACAGGGATGCCCTCTCTCACCACTCCTATTCAACATAGTGTTGGAAGTTCTGGCCAGGGCAATTAGGCAGGAGAAGGAAATCAAGGGTATTCAATTAGGAAAAGAGGAAGCCAAATTGTCCCTGTTTGCAGACGACATGATTGTATATCGAGAAAACCCCATCGTCTCAGCCCAAAATCTCCTTAAGCTGATAAGCAACTTCAGCAAAGTCTCAGGATACAAAATCAATGTACAAAAATCACAAGCATTCTTATACACCAACAACAGACAAACAGCCAAATCATGAGTGAACTCCCATTCACAAGTGCTTCAAAGCGAATAAAATACCTAGGAATCCAACTTACAAGGGATGTGAAGGACCTCTTCAAGGAGAACTACAAACCACTGCTCAAGGAAATAAAAGAGGATACAAACAAATGGAAAAACATTCCATGCTCATGGGTAGGAAGAATCAATATCGTGAAAATGGCCATACTGCCCAAGGTATTTTACAGATTCAATGCCATCCCCATCAAGCTACCAATGCCTTTCTTCACAGAATTGGAAAAAACTACTTTAAAGTTCATATGGAACCAAAAAAGAGCTCGCATTGCCAAGTCAATCCTAAGCCAAAAAAACAAAGCTGGAGGCATCACACTACCTGACTTTAAACTATACTACAAGGCTACAGTAACCAAAACAGCATGTTACTGGCACCAAAACAGAGATATAGATCAATGGAACAGAACAGAGCCCTCAGAAATAACGCTGCATATCTACAACTATCTGATCTTTGACAAACCTGAGAAAAACAAGCAATGGGGAAAGGATTCCCTATTTAATAAATGGTGCTGGGAAGACTGGCTAGCCATATGTAGAAAGCTGAAACTGGATCCCTTCCTTACACCTTATACAAAAATCAATTCAAGATGGATTAAAGACTTAAACGTTAGACCTAAAACCATAAAAACCCTAGAAGAAAACCTAGGCATTACCATTCAGGACATAGGCATGGGCAAGGACTTCATGTCTAAAACACCAAAAGCAATGGCAACAAAAGCCAAAACTGACAAATGGGATCTAATTAAACTAAAGAGCTTCTGTACAGCAAAAGAAACTACCATCAGAGTGAACAGGCAACCTACAAAATGGGAGAAAATTTTCGCAACCTACTCATCTGACAAAGGGCTAATATCCAGAATCTACAATGAACTCAAACAAATTTACAAGAAAAAAACAAAAAACCCCATCAAAAAGTGGGCGAAGGACATGAACAACACTTCTCAAAAGAAGACATTTATGCAGCCAAAAAACACATGAAAAAATGCTCATCATCACTGGCCATCAGAGAAATGCAAATCAAAACCACAATGAGATACCATCTCACACCAGTTAGAATGGCAATCATTAAAAAGTCAGGAAACAACAGGTGCTGGAGAGGATGTGGAGAAATAGGAACACTTTTACACTATTGGTGTGACTGTAAACTAGTTCAACCATTGTGGAAGTCAGTGTGGCGATTCCTCAGGGATCTAGAACTAGAAATACCATTTGACCCAGCCATCCCATTACTGGGTATATACCCAAAGGACTATAAATCATGCTGCTATAAAGACACATGCACACGTATGTTTATTGCGGCATTATTCACAATAGCAAAGACTTGGAACCAACCCAAATGTCCAACAATGATAGACTGGATTAAGAAAATGTGGCACATATACACCATGGAATACTATGCAGCCATAAAAAATGATGAGTTCATGTCCTTTGTAGGGACATGGATGAAATTGGAAATCATCATTCTCAGTAAACTATCGCAAGAACAAAAAACCAAACACCGCATATTCTCACTCATAGGTGGGAACTGAACAATGAGATCACATGGACACAGGAAGGGGAACATCACACTCTGGGGACTGTTGTGGGGTGGGGGGGAGGGGGGAGGGATAGCATTAGGAGATATACCTAATGCTAGATGATGAGTTAGTGGGTGCAGCGCACCAGCATGTCACATGTATACATATGTAACTAACCTGCACAATGTGCACATGTACCCTAAAACTTAAAGTATAATAATAAAAAAAAAGAAAATTAAAAAAAAAAGACCTAGTCATACAGCTTAAATTGTTATCTAACTCCAGACTCCCAAGTGAAAGCAAGTGTTGAGTATAAATCATATTGTTTGCACAAACAAACTAGGCACAGTGAAATACCTTCATCTTTTAACACTACAAAAAGCCCAATTCTGAGATGCTGAGCAAGAGCCAGTGTTGTAAACAACATCAAGCCTGCTGTGTGAACTCTTTTCTGTGTACTTTCTAAGTGGTTTCACTTTCTGTTATGATTGTTTCTTTCCAATTCATCTTCTACATAGCAAAAAAAAAAAAAAAATTCTTAGCCTTGAATTAAATTATGGTCTTAAACCTCTTAAGACATTTTATAAATTCCTGACAGGTCAAAAAAGTAAGTGTGGTGACATTCTTTTCAAAGCATTATTTTGATGTGTCCAGGCATTTTTTTTCTACTTATACGCTGATCATTTCAGCTCACACATCCTTTCCAATTATCTGTGGTGTCTTAGAGACGTGCTTGCATGTACGTATGTGTGTGTGTTCATTTTTTTATTTAATACAGGAGTTGACAAACTTTTTCAGTAAGAGATCAGATAATCACTATTTTGAGTTTGACAGGCCATACAGTCTCTGTCACAACTACTCAATTTTGTGATTGTAGTGAAACTGAACCCAGGTTTGGGTGTTTGCCAATCAAAAGCCTAAACTCGAGAGACGAGGAGCTGGTAGAAGAAAGAACAGGTTTATTCAGCTGACAGCCTGAAGAGATGGCAGGATAAAGTCTCCAAGATGGCAGGATAATGTCTCAAAGACCATCTCGCCCTCCTTTGGCTGACCAAAGGGGTTTCAAAGGGGAAGGGACTTGGGAAACTGGCAGGTCAGCATGTCTTGCTCTGATTATCTTGAGTAATGAGCCACCTAGTGGTCTGGCTGGTATCAGCTAGCCCTCAGCAGGATGGAAGATTAACTGCTCAGCATTGTACTTCCAGGGATAGGGGTGCATTCAACAGCCTTTGTTCTATCCCAAGGCTACTTCCTGGAATTAAGAAACTAATTCAAGCAAGCACTGAGTTATGCATTATAAAAAAAAAATAGCCATTTGTTTTCTAAGTGGAGTGTTTCAGTTGCAGTAGTGCAAAAGCAGCCATAGGTGATAGGTAAATGGGACTGTTTACTGACTGTTAATTTAATATAAATAAATTACCAATTAATATAACTAATATCGCTAACAAAATCTTTATATATGTGTGCTATTAATATTTTCAAGCACTATTTCAGGTCCAGATGTAATTCATTTCAAGAGGTCAAGAGTAAAAACATAAAATTGAGGTGTAAGAAATATTTTCAAATAAATCTTCCACTACACTAACTTTTTTTGGGAAAAATTTGGAGGAAAAATTTTTAGTTGCATGAGAAAAAAAGTTTGGGTTACATTCTTTCAGTTTCCTCTCATCTTGTAAAAGAAAAGTGGTAGAGATTTCAGCCAAATGAGACTTGTTTTTTTCATGAGTCGACACAGCTTGAAAGAATTCAGTATCAGAACACGAGATATTGTCTTTTTACAAAGAAAGACACAGGACACTCAGCAATAACTCTTCAAAGAAATTGTTCTTACCGGTCGCTGTGCTGGGTAGAGAAAGGCATGGTCCCTTTAAATGATATGGAAACGGGAAGGGCATGGTCCCTGGCTAGGGCTCCATCTCCAGGAACCTAGATGAGGAGAGGCATTTTTGTTTTCCTGCCCAAATATTGCATTTCCCAAGACCACCCTGGCATGACACGCACCCATCCTGTGCCTATAAAACCCCTGAGACCCTAACAGGCAGACACACAGACGGCTGGAAGTCCAGAGGATCACATCAGAGGAAGAACACACAGGCTTCTGTCGGGAGAAATGCACCGACAGGCACCAGCACACAGCAGGCCACTGCTTGGTAGAAGCAGAATGACATGGAGTTTGACTGGGACAGTCCCAGGAGAGCCCAGGACGCTGAGCAGCTGACTCCAGGGGAAAACCTTCCCACTCCCGTCACCCTTCGGGCTTCCCCCATCTGCTGAGAGCTACCTCCACTCAATAAAAACTTGCACTTATTCTCCAAGCCCAGGTGTGATCCGATTCTTCCGGTACACCAAAGCAAGAACCTGAGATACAAAAAGCTCTCTGTCCTTGCAACAAGGTAGAGGGTCTAACTGAGCTGGTTAAGGTAAGCTGCCTATCAATGGAAAAACTAAAAGAGCACAGAGCAGTGTGTCCGGGATTGGTGGGTTCTTGGTCTCACTGACTTCAAGAATGAAGCTGCGGCCCTGGCGGTGAGTGTTACAGCTCTTAAGGTGGCGTGTCTGGAGTTTGTTCCTTCTGATGCTCAAATGTGTTCGGAGTTTCTTCCTTCTGGTGGGTTCATGGTCTCGCTGCCTCAGGAGTGAAGCTGCAGACCTTCGCTGTGAGTGTTACAGCTCTTAAGGCAGCACGTCTGGAGTTGTTCGTTCCTCCTGGTGGGCTCGTGGTCTCACTGGCTTCAGGAGAGAAGCTGCAGATCTTCGCGGTGAGTGTTACAGCTCATAAAAGCAGTGTGGACCCAAAGAGTGAGCAGTAGCAAGATTTATTGCAAAGACTGAAAGAACAAAGCTTCCACACTGTGGAAGGAGACCCCAGCGGGTTGCCACTACTGGCTGGGGCAGCCTGCTTTTATTCTCTTCTCTGGCCCCACCCACATCCTGCTGATTGGTGGAGCCCAGTGGCCTGTTTTGACAGGGCGCTGATTGGTGCATTTACAATCCCTGAGCTAGATACAAAGGTTATCCACGTCCCCATCAGATTAGTTAGATACAGAGTTTCCACACACAGGTTCTCCAAGGCCCCACCAGAGCAGTTAGATACAGAGTGTCCATTGGTGCATTGGCAAACCCTGAGCTAGACACAGGGTGCTGATTGGTGTGTTTACAAACCTTGAGCTAGATACAGAGTGCTGATTGGTGTATTTACAATCCCTGAGCTAGACATAAAGGTTCTCCAAGGCCCCACCAGAGCAGCTAGATACAGAGTGTAGATTGGTGCACTCACAAACCCTGAGCTAGACACAGGGTGCTGGTTGGTATGTTTACAATCCCTGAGCTAGACATAAAGACTGTCCACGTCCCCACCAGACTCAGGATCCCAGCTGGCTTCACCCAGTGGATCCCGCATGGGGGCTGCAGGTGGACCTGCCTGCCAGTCCTGCGCCATGCGGTGGCACTCCTCAGCCCTTGGGCGGTCGATGGGACTGGACGCCGTGGAGCAGGGGGCGGCGCTCGTTGGAGAGGCTCCCGCTGCACAGGAACCCAGGGAGGCGGGGGAAGGCTCAGGCATGGCGGGATGCAGTCCTGAGGCCTGCCCCCCGGGAAGGCAGCTAAGGCCCGGCGAGAAATCGAGCGCAGCGCCGGTGGGCTGGCACTGCTGGGGGACCCAGTACACCCTCCGCAGCCGCTGGCCCCGGGTGCTAAGTCCTTCGTTGCCCGGGGCCAGCAGGGCCGGCCGGCTGCTCAGAGTGCGGGGCCGCCAAGCCCACGTCCACCCGGAACTCCAACTGGCCCGCAAGCGCAGCACGCAGCCCGCGTTCCGGGTCGCGCCTCTGCCTCCACACCTCCCTGCAAGCTGAGGGAGTGGGCTTCGGCCTTGGCCAGCCCAGAAAGGGGCTCCCACAGTGCAGCCGTGGGCTGAAGGGCACCTCAAGTGCCGCCAAAGTGGGAGCCTAGGCAGAGGAGGCGCCAAGAGCGAGTGAGGGCTGTGAGGACTGCCAGCACGCTGTCACCTCTCAGTGGCACATGCCCACTGGGCTTTCAGGAGCTGTAAACATACACCTCTAGACACTGCTTTGGGGTAAGTCCCACAGCCTGCCTATATATATGCTCCCCCAGATGTTTGAGCAGTGGGGCACTGAAGAAGTGAGCTGCACCCCAGTGGCATGTCCTGCGAGGGGGACAACAAAACTTTTCCTGTTTCACTACCAGTGGTTTTCCATTTTGACTGTACAGTAGAATTGTATCCAAGATTTTAAACAGTTTTGAATTAATTCATCCAGAAATCAAAGAATTTATTCACTTAAGACAATGTTTTAAAATCTTAAAATACGGATTAAGATGCTAGATGTTAGAATTGGTAAATTATGATTTAAAATGACAATTTTCTTCTATTCACATATAGACTAGCTAGTTATATGTAAAGCAGAAGTAAATTAGCACATCAGAAAATTAAGAGAGATATAGATTTCTGATTTTTATTCTGATTTAAATTTAATAGAGGATTATGTGAAATAGATTCGAGGGTATAGAAATGTCCATGTTTTCTTAGGTCACTGGGGAAAAAAAGAGGGAATAAGAGTGTTTCATATATAGGCCTGAAAATATTTGTAGAGTAGTGTAAATAGAAAAATAAAAATACTAAATCCCAGTAAAAGTGACATTTTTTGTAAACTGGTGAGGATTTTTGTTTGCTTACTTCTAAATATTTCTATTGATTGAATAGGCCACATTATTTTGTTATTTAAATCTATATAAAATAGTATTTATAGCAAAGGTATAAAGAAACCAAGTAATGACCCCCAAAATTATCTCTATTATTTCTGTATCCCAGAATTTTGCAGTCAGCTAGTTAGCAGTGTGCTGTATTCATTTCTTGACTTCACAGTTTACACAAGTGATGCTTTGACCCCACCTTTGAAATTACTGAGAAACTGCTGTGTGTATTTCACAGCTAGCCCTGCAGCTTAGGAATGTAAGGTCTAACTGAGACAGAGTAGGAATAGGGTTTGGCTTCAGTGCACTCCTGCCAGAACATTCCTTTATGCATTCCTACTAATCACAAAACTCACACCACTACCTTGCTGATTACATACTTGCTAACCCAAAGTGTTACCCAAAAGCGGTCTCGATCCAGACCCCAAGAGAGGATTCCTGTATCTCGCACAAGAAAGAATCCATATACAGAGTAAAGAGAAAGCAAGTTTATTAAGAAAGCAAAGGAATGAAGAATGCCTACTCCATAGGCAGAGCAGCAGCATGGGCTGATTAGCTCCTTATACTTATTGTTGCTTCTTGATTACATGCTAAACAAGGAGTGGGCAATTTTCAGAACCAAAGGCTCCTCCTCTTTTTGGACCATATAGGGTAACTTCTTGACATTGCCATGGCATTTACAAACTGGCTTGGACCTGGTGGGAGTCTTTTAGCATGCTAATACATTATAATAAGCATATAATGAGCAGTGAGAACTACCAGAGGTCACTTTCTTTGCAATCTTGGTTTTGGTGGATTTTAGTTGGCTTCTTTACTGCAACCTGCTTTATTAGCAAGGTCTTTGTGACCTGTATCTTGTGTTGACCCCCTATGTCATCTGTGACTTAGGATGCCTAACCTCTTGGGAATGCAGCCCAGTAGGTCTCAGCCTTATTTTACCTGGCCCCCATTCAAGATGGGGTCGCTCTGGTTCAAAAGTCTCTGAGGCAAGGTTTTGTTATACAAAGAAAATAGCCATTCTGTATTGTTCTCCTGTGCTCTTGGAATGTCTACCCATGCCTTTTACTTAAAGAATTCCAGGAACTGGACTTAAGAGATCCAAAATACTGAACCAAGTTTGCAGAGTGTTTCACTTCAGGAAGAAATGCTAATCAATCGATTTACAGCCTTGTTCCCACTGACCAGACCACTAGGTGTCCCATTACTCAAGATAAGCATTGCAACCTGATACACTGACTTTTGCATACCCTACCCATCACATGTTTTGCCCAGCCCAGCCTCCATACTCTACCACTGGTATCAAATACCACAGTTTGCAAAAAAAAAAAAAAAAAAAAAATCCCAACTGGCGCCTTTCAGAGAGTCAGTCAGGGAGCTCTCTCTCTCTCTTTGTTGTGCTGCCCGCCTTATGCCCAGGCTTAAGTGCCAGTGAAGCCTTGTCTGGGAAACCGTTTTTGGCCTCATGTCAATTTCTATTGCATTGAGGGCCCAAGAACAATGATTGGTAACATATTCTTTTGGGGCTTGACTGGGATCATGGGGAAGTATTTTCTTCCCCAATGTGGGAGGCTCGTGAGCCAGCAGGACTGCTGAACGTGACCACTTCGTGGCTGTTGGGTGGCCACCTGAATCTTTATTCAGAGTGAGTTTTTCCTGTGGCTTCAAGACTCCTTGCCACCACGACCTAGACAACACTTTCTCTCCTCTCCTATCCTCTATTTGTTGTCTCTTTCTTTTTTCTTCTTTTTCCTTCCTCCTTCTCTTCCTTCATTTTTCATTAACTTCATTGGCTCAGCCTGAATACGCATCCATGCAGAGTAGATTCAAACAGCCGATCAGTTCAGCTGGTAGGAAACTCTGTCTGGTGCCCTGTCTCTGGGCCCTATGATATTCTTTAAGTCTTCTAAGTACTTTCTTTCCCTTTGCTACACCTTGTGGGGAATGGAGGCCTGTGGTCTTTTCTGACATCAATCTATTCAAGCGTGCAAGCCTACCTACTCTCAGTGCTGTCTTTGTAAAGAGAAAATTGAGAGCACATGGGTCCGAAGATTTCATCACTCACACCCTGATCCATTTTCACTTGTCTGTATCTAATTTGACATCGTATTTCCCCCTGAAGCCCACTGAGCAGCATCTTGCAAAAATGAGAGGCTTTTGCCTAAGGGTTCATGAAACAGAAAAGGATGATTTTCCTTTGTAATGTGGCTTGGACCCCACAGCTATGGTATAGCAAACAGGATCATCAAAACTGCTCTGCTCTTCCAAAAGCTATAGACAAAGGAAACTCAGTAACCTGGCATGCCAGCAAAAGCGTAAGAATTTCCTACCAGCCAGGCTTCTGGACTCTGTCTCTCTGTGCAGACTGGCTGTGTGAACGGTAAAAATCATTGCTTGTTTCCTCTACAAGGTTTTAATTAATGGGTTAAAGGATTTGTGAGACTATTGTTAGACTGAAGTGAATCGGATGTCCTGTGTGCTACGAATTTCTCATTCTGTGTCATTGTGTCATGGAGAGGGGTGCCACAGGATAGAATGTGGGCCTAGTACCCCTGTTTGCCCACTGTTCCAGCCGGCCCGGCAGACTGGTCAACTACAAACTTTGCTGGGGGTCCCTAAAACAAAAACTGGGTGAGATTTCCCTCTCATCTTGTTTTATGCCCTTCAGAACTTGACTGTGACAACATGGAGGTACTTTCTTTTGGTCTCTGTCATCCGGAGGGTGATAATTTTTTAATTCCTCTAAGTCATCTGGTCTGAAAGGACACCTTATAATGTCATGGTTATCCCAAATAATTCCCTTGAGGGGTTAAAAGCCTTCGCAAGCTCAAAAATGACTGCGTTCGATTTCTTCTGGGAAAAATGATGGCAACTCCCCTATCTGTAGCTCAGTAGCTAAGGCTTTGCCCTTTCACAATGGTGACCTTGATTCAGTCCACAGCTTAGGGAAGGAATCATTTCTGGTTTAATATTTGTGTGATCTTTGCATTTATTGATTCTTTTCTCCTCTGTGAATGGCTTCGGACTTCTGATCTTAAATTTTCCTTTCTCTGAGCTACCTTTGGGGTGATTCTAGATCTTGTAAAAACTGTTTGCCATCTCTTTGGAGATACCTTGTGCACCCATGGTTAAGTCATACCCTTAGTTAAGGCTTGTTGGTTTCACTTGGGAAAATAGTGTTGGGGACAATAAAAAGACTAAAAAGCCAGAGGTATTGGCTATTTGTTCTGTATAAATCTGGTAATAAAATATTTAAAAGGATTTTTTAAAAAAGAGTTCTATGATTAAAAGTCAGCTTAATTACAAGGGGATATCCAAGCTATATATACATTTAAAAGTCCTTTATGTTTTTTTCTTCTCTTGGATTTTGTTTTTTGAGAAAGAAGTTTTTTTTGTTTTCTTTTTATTTCTCAGTAGTCTGAATTGTTTATACTTTTTAAAATGTCTAATGGCAGTATGCATACAATGACTAGCAATTCTACCAGATCTGCTTCTGTCTAACTGTGTATTTATATGTGCTATGTCTATGATGTTTGACTGCCAAAATATATAAGAGTTCAAATTAGTTGGGTTAAAAAATAAGCATTTAAATAAAATACTTTGTCACAAGAAAGAAAACCTTTAATGCCTTTTAGTTCACATTACGTTAGTAATCTTTGGTAAATAAAAATAGTTTTAAAGGCCATTGGTTTAAAAAAGATAAAAACATTTTCAAAATTTAGGCATTTGGTCTCAATTACTGCCTTTGTTAGATGCTTTTGTTAATGTACCTGATACTGTCTTTTCTAGATGCTTTTGTTACTACCCCTAAACTCTGAGTTCTTTGGCTTTTGTGTAAGCGAAAATTAACTCAAGGCCAAACAGAGCTTTTGCTCACACAAGGTTTAATAGGCTTCTGGCTGGAGAGCACAAGAAGAAAGTGCTCAGGAAAGGGATCCTGGTGCTAGCTCTCTGAAGGGACTCAGTTTCTGTCATTTTAAGGAATTCGGGGTGGGAAAGAGAACAATTACAACCACGTTTTGGCAGGGGCTTCTCTGCGCTTGCGCAGTAGGACAACATGCTCAGACATGCCTCATATGACCAGAAAATGGCGTATAAGCCCCACCATGGTGGAGATTTTAGTATGACAATGAGACACGATGAGGAGAACATCAATGAAAGATTAGTGCAGAAGTCCATCTGGTCTTCAGACAGTTGGATCTGGTCAGGTTCTTTTCGGGATGCCAGAGCCTTGCTTCAGCGACCTTGGAAAACATCACTCCAAGAGATACATGGTTAAGTTTTTCCTTTCATGGTTAGGAATTTAGCACGGTCAGCTAAGTTAGAAAAGGTTCCCTCTTCCTGCCATTTGACTTAACGTAGGGAGGAAATATGCCCTGGCATTTAAGGCCCGTCAGGACTTTGGTTATGTTAAAAGAAAGACCTTAGCCAAAGTTAATTTAACAGAGTTTAATTGAGCAAAGAATAATTCACGAATTAGGTGGTCTACAGAACCAGAGTAGGCTAAAAGAGACTCTAGCAAAGCCACATGGTGGAAAGAGATTTATGGACAAGAAAAGGAAAGTGATGTACTGAAAATGGAAGTGAGGTACAGAAACAGCTGGATTTATTAGACCTCAGTGTGTGCTCACTTTGAACACAGTTTGAACAGTTGGCCCCCTTTGGCCACAACTCAGTGACTGGCACAAGAGTAGGTTACAGTCTGCTTACACCTCCATTTAGGTTATAGTTCACCACGTACAGAGAAAGCTTTAGGCCAAACTTAAAATATATAAGGAAGCATCTTTAGACACTTTGATTTAGCAGTTACCATTTCATCTGTGTGACTTGTCAGGGCTGAATTTTTTTCCTATACTGCCTCACTTTAAATTTATAAACTGCTTGTATGACTTGTGATACTTTTTCAACTTTCCTGCTTTAGAGCTATTAGATTATAGGTTAGCCTGGGGACATATGAAGTTAGCCACAGCTTTGCTAGAAGAGTCAGACATTATCTGTGATTTTGTCATTTGTTAGATGCTTTTGTTAATACACCTGATACTGTCTTTTCGAGATGCTTTTGTTACTACCCCTGAACCCTGAATTCTTTGGCTTATGTATCAAGTGCAGGTCTTAGACTCTGCATCTGATACATAATTAAAATTGTTTACACTAAAAATAAAACTTATGTGTTTTTGATTAAAAGGTATGGAAGTGTGTTTTTTTAAGAGAAAATAATTTTGTCTAATTTAGAGGATTTAAGAATTGTCTTGAGTTTAAAGAAAGAATATAACAAGTTTTAAGACAGTTGCATAAGGTTTACGAAAGATGAATCATGTGAAAATATTTGTGTATGAGCAAGCTGGCCAAAATTTAAATGATTTTATTTAGTTTTTTCATGTATTAGACATTAAAATAAAAGCATACTGATGCAGAGCCAGAATCTTTGCCCATGTCTCAGAAAAACAGGGTTTTTTTAGAGCGTTGATCTACTCTTTAGCAATTAAATGTAACAGATTATAAAAGGTTATGAAAATCTCACCTTATGGTTAAACTAGTTAAAATCAGATAGCTTCAGGTTTATAAAACTTTTATTAAAATTTGCTTTAGTATAAATATAGTAATTCAAGGGTAAAATCTGGTTTTCCCTTTGAAACAAGATCTTCATATCATATAGAGAGATAATAGATTTTTGTTTGCCTTTGAAATAGACTACAGGAAAAAAGAGAGAGGTAAGAGACAGATTCATTTGGCCTTATTCTGTCCTTTTTGGGTCTTCATGCTTGGAGAACTGAGTCTCTCCTCTATCAATAAGTAAAGGATTTTGTCTTTTTAAAATCTTGAGTTATTATTTGGCTAAATAAATGTCTTATAGTGACTTGAAATTCTATTTTTTAATAGCAAGTGTTTTAAACCTTTTGATATTTGGCAAATTTCCCAAGATCAAATTAAGTATTAGATCCTCTAAAGTCCAAAAGAGATATATTCAGTTTATTTGGTATTTTAAAACCATAGAGGAAACATTGTCAAATATAAAGTGTTGTTTAACTTTCTTTAGGTTCTATTTCTATGTTATTAGTTTGCATTCCAAAATTATATAATCTTCCTAAATTATAATATGTCTCAGTATATGCTATCAATAGTAAATATGACTATTATGTAAAATTACTGTGTGCTACAGATATGCTCAGATTTCCTTTTTAATTGTGATTTTTATCATGGCTGTCCTAATGAATCAGGAGATGTAAAAGGAAAAACAAGTTTTCTGTACTGGGCGGACTCACTCTGAAGCCTAGTCCAACGCCCAGTGATAAGCAGTACTCTGTCAGGGTTTTGATAGCATTATCAGCAGAGCCAGGGAGAGCCCAGAAGGAATGGGCTCCAGGAGCAGGGATGAGAAAAACAAGTTTTTCTTATCAGTTTCCCACCATGGAGTTTTCTCCCCATACCATTATTCTTTGTTCTGCTCTCATAACTGTTAACTATTTCTGCAAGTTTGTAAGGATTTTGTGAGTTCCTGTTTTCCTTCTGTGCAGTAGGGCAGAGGTCACAAGACATGCCTAAGTTGCAACATCTGTTACTGTTTGATAAACTGCCTTTGTTCTGCTTTTGTAAGCTTGCTTGCCCACTCTGCAGGTTTCAGGCCACTAGCTGACCAACCCCCTTTGGTGGCATGTATAAAAGTCAAGCCCTGTCTTTGTTCGGGGCTCAGCCTTTGGATGTTAATCTGCTCTGTCAAGGTGCACCCAATAAAATCCTACTGTTCCACCCATGGGTCTCTCCAGTCCCTTAATTCCTGCAACACTAAGACTTTGGTTGCCCACACACAATTGTCTTGTTTTGGTTCTTTTCAAAACACCATTTATAATCAGCTATAGGATTCTGAAAAGGACTCTTCAATGCATGTCTCTAATAACCTTGGAGATCGGATGATTAGAATAGCAAGAACAACTTCCAAGACTCTCTTTGAGAACAAATGTGGTTAGAAATATTGAGCCAAACCGGAGTTAATTACATAGAATAGACTAATAGAAGAATGAAATAATCCTTTTATGACTTTTTGCTTGAGATATTGCAGATCTGTTCGGTTTGTTTCTCAGAGTCAGGAAAAGTTTTTCTTTTGAGCTATCTACAGCTTTTAACAATTGAGTAAATTATACTCCTGTGAGCAAAATTTGGAGCATATTTCTTTCTCTCCATCAGATTTCTGCAGAATTTGGAAACTATTTGTGAATATTCTTAACTTATCACAATATAGTTGTTTGCATAAATGCAATAAGAATCTGTTTTCTGTTGTAACAGGACACAATTGGAGAAACTGATATTTTACCAAGGGTTTGACTGGAATGACAGAATCTCAAATATAAACAGACTGCTTTAAGAATTCAAAGTTGATTTATGCAGATGCTAAAACTGCCTTGGAAAAACTGGCCTCATACCTCTCTAAGCAGTCCTTGTCTAGGGTTCCTGACCTGTGGTAGGTAAAGAATGTTACTTTCTAACAGGTTCAGAAGCCTCAAGTTATCTTGGAGACCTACAGAGGAAATGAATTTACCTAATTCATACAAGTATTTGCATGCCCAGATAAATTTGTGGCTAGGCTCAAGTCTTTAAAAAGTCTAATCTCAGATTCCTTATGGTAAAAGTTCCATAAAAGAGAGCATATGTGGTAAATAATTATTCTTGCTGCATTTTTGAAATAATTAGGCAAAGTATAATAAGACTAAAACATACTGCAAACAAGTTGGTCCTACTATGATTCCTCTTTGATAAAAATGAGAGACTGGAGAGGGAAAAATTATAATACACCTGCTATTGGATTCTAATCTTGTCAATTGTTATTGACTTTTTGAAATATTCTTTTCTAAAATTTAGACTGAATCTTAAATATTTTCTGGGCTACAAGTCTCCAAACCAATGTTTCTTCCATTTTTCTGACTTGAACACAATGGAATTACTTCTATCTTTTTCCTGAGTCCCTGAAAGCTTAAGTTTATTTCTTGTGATACAGGAAAGAAGGTGTCACATTGCCACTGCCTTTCTTCTCTGCAGTAGGATTGTTTAAGTCTGCCATTAATGTTGGTTTTTCTTCTGTTTCCATAGAAATGTCTCCTATTAAAGGCCTGTTAGTCTTATGTTTCAGAAAATAGGAGACTGCTTTTCCAGGCTATTCATTTAAATTCCAAATAGCATCTGATCTCTTCTTATATGCATTATTAAACTGTTCTTAATAATTTTATTATCACTGGGAGCTATTTGATTTTTAAAATGGTTATTTACTATATTCAACAGGGGGTGCAGATGGTTTATGACTTCAAGGCTTAAATAGTTTCAAGTCTCTAGATGTCTTTAGAGTAGTCAGTAAGACAGTTTCATGCCCTCTATGGTGAGTCAAGAATAAGAATCCTATTCAGCATGAAGTAGCTTCAGAAAACGAGAGTTTTGGCCCTCTCTCCTTAACAATAAGAAGGACAAAGCTGGAAGTGGTGGTTCATGCCTGTAATCCCAGCACTTTTGGAGGCTGAGATGGGTGGATCACTTGATGCCAGGAGTTAGAGACCAACCTGGCCAACATGATGAAATCCCATCTCTACTAAAAGTACAAAAATTAGCCAGATGTGCTGGCACATGCCTGTAATCTAAACTACTCAGGAGGCTGAGACATGAGAATTCCTTAAACCCAGGAGGCGGAGGTTGCAGTGAGCCGAGATCACACCACTGAACTCCAGCCTGGGTGAGAGTGAGATTCTGTCTCAAATAATAATAATAATAATAATAATAATAATAATAATAATAAAGAGGATAAAATCTCTCAAAGGGGAATGAGATAGAGTAGGAAGCAGGCATGGCTTCAACTCACTCCCACTAGAGAGAGCATTCTCTTATGCATTCATCTAATCACAAAATCCACACCACTAACTCACTGATGACATTCCACTAACCCTAAAGCTTTAGTTATACAAAGACAATAGTCATTCTATATTGTCCTCTGCACCCTCGTAATGTTTAAACATGCATTTTACTTAAAGACTTCCAGGAACTTGCCTTAGGGTGTTCAAAATATCAAAGCAAGGTTGTGGAGTGTCCCACATTGGGAAGGAATGCTAATCAATTGATTTACAGCCTGTTGCCACCAACCTAGTGGCATAATGACCTAGTGGTGAGTCATTATGCAAGATAATCTTTGTAATGAGATATGATAGCCTGTAAACTCTACCGTTCATGTGCTTTGCCCATCTTGACCTGCATATCCTGCCCCTGATATCAATATCAATTATTGCACCTTGCATAATAAAAAAAATGCAAATGGCCCTTTTTGGAGAGTCAGTCAGGGAATTCTCTCTCTCTCTTTCTCTCAGTTGTGTTACCTCCCTTATGCCTGGGCATAAGATTCAATGAAGCCTTGTCTGGGAAAACTCTTTTGGCCTCATGTCAATTTTTATTGCATTGAGAGTCCAAGACCCCATGGTCAGTAATATAACGTTTTTCATTCATTTTACTTTTTTGTTTTTACGTTTTATATCATCTAAGATTCATTCAAACATTTTGCTCTGTTTGTATTAAAATATTGAGAAGTTTTGTGTTTCCTACATTAATAACAGTGTTTATATATCTTTTCATATAATGAATTTTTCACCCATAATAACTGTAATTATTATTACCAAGTAAAGATATAGCAGTGCTAAGTAAGCAAAAACCTAGGAAGTTAGACAATGATAGAAAAGCAGTTACTAAATAACTTGACAAAATACATGTAAATTATTATTATTTGGTATAAATTGCAAAGGAACAAGGATATAGAAAGATACCTTCATTTAAATCTTGATTTTGGAAAAGTTATTCCTTAAGACGTTGCACTGGTTCTACACTTTCCCAGCTTGCCAGTGAAAAATATTAGATGTTAGATGGTTTGATTTACACAGTGCAAAATAAAGGACAAACACTTTTACCCAGAATTAAATACAGAAGTACACCCCCAAGAGATAAGTACACGTGGTCCATGTGTCATATAGTTTTCTGTAATAAGGAAAATTTTAAAAGGTAAAGAAAAAAGAAAAGGCAGTAGAGTAGGACAAGGAGAAGGTGGAGGAGGAGCAGGAAGAAGTGAAATAGGAGGGCCAGCCACGATGGCTCACGCCTGTAATTCCAGCACTTTGGGAGGCCAACATGGGCAGATCACAAGGTCAGGAGATTGAGACCATCCTGGCCAACATGGTGAAACCTTGACTCTACTAAAAATACAAAAATTATTTGGGTGTTTTGGTGCATGCCTATAATCCCAGCTACTCGGGGGGCTGAGGCAGGAGAATGGCTTGAACCAGGGAGATGGAGTTTGCAGTGAGCCGAGATCGCGCCACTGCACTCCAGCCTGGCAACAGAGAGAGACGCCATCAAAAAAAAAAAAAGAAGTGAAAGAGGAAAAAGAGAAACAGGAAGTAGATGTATGTTTGTAAATATTTGGATGAGAGGCCAGGCGCGGTGGCTTACACCTGTAATGCCAGCACTTCGGGAGGACAAGGCGGGAGGATCTCAAGGTCAGGAGACTGAGACCATCCTGGCTAACATGGTGAAACCCTGTCTCTATTAAATATGCAAAAAATTAGCCGGGCGAGGTGGCGGGCGCCTGTAGTCCCAGCTACTTGGGAGGCTGAGACAGAGAATGGTATGAACCCAGGAGGCGGAGCTTGCAGTGAGCTGAGATGGCTCCACTGCACTCCAGCCTGGGTGACAGAGCCAGACTCCATCTCAAAAAAAAAAAAAAAAAAAAAAATATATATATATATATATATATATATATATATATATATATATATATATATTTGGATGAGAATAGGATGTCCAGACTAAATAATAAAAAGCAAAGGAAGTACAAATTTGAAGATGGAATTTAATCTGATATTATTTAGAGGGCTGCTGAATGTATAATTTAATATATTGAGAATTTTTTTTTCTATTAAGCGGTACCAACTATGCATTCTCTAGGAAGAGGAGGGACAGTAAAGTTACCGAAGAATGTGCTTTTAAAATAAAATAAAGGTGGACTGTCTTGGTCCTTACTAGATGTATATTTCTGTCAAAATTACTGATATAACCATGAAGTCTCAGTTTCCATCCTGGAAAAAGGAGAATAATAATGTTCGATTTATAAACTGGGTGGGAAGTTTAAATCAGATCATATGTATAAAGTGCTTTCCAATCCTTCATGTTATTGTATTACCACTTCTGAGGTATGAAGTGATGACTTTTGTTAGAGCCACAGGCTTCACACTTTAGCTATTTCTAAGAAGCTGTAGTCTCTAAATACAGGCAAAGGAATTTTAAATTCATTTCATCAAAGGAAGATGACTTTCCTGAAACCACTTTTACTATGTTCATTTATACATTTTCTTTTATGGCTCTGTTTCTTGGTACAAGTGATTCTTGGAGCATTGCCAAGTTGGTGACAATGATATGTTAAAGACAAAATAATTCCATCTCCATAGGAGAATCTATGTCGAGACTGCTAGAGTCTGAAGAAGAAGCTGTTCTTTATTTTGAGAGCAATATGCAGACTCAACATGAGCAAATGAAAGCTATGAGAATGTTCATTCTGAAAACACTTGGGATGAACAAAATGGGGCAAGTGTAAATACCCTTTTCCGTCACTTCTTGCAACACTCCTCAAGAACATTTTTTTTCTCAAGGTCAAGGTGGTGACAGCAAGAACATACTTCAGAATTTCTGCCAAATTTAGTAGCAGCTAAACTTTGGAATAATATAAAAATATGATGTTGTTTAAATGATGGCTTTGACAGAGAGAATAGAATTTATGATTTTAGAAAAATATAGGGCAACCAGTTTCCTTTACCTCTCACTTTTGTGGTTCTACACTTTGTGAAACTCATATTTAGTTACTTTTAATCTCTTGCTTACTTTATTTTTAAACCTGATCTATAATTTGATTTTGTGCATATTGATTCTAGATAACATACAGAGTGATAGAAAAAGTAAGAGGAATTTCCAATGTTTTAAATAAGATTACATCTTCACAGTCATTTTGAGCGATATCAAAAACTATTATGAAGGTTTATTAGAAAACCCTTTTACATTGTCTTTATAATATTAATGAAGAGAAAGAACAGTGGTTTTGTATGGGAATTGTTATGGATTTAAGGTGTGTTTCCCTCCCAAAATTTATGTTGCATTTTGAAGCCCTAACTACCGATGTTATGGTATTTGGAGATGTGGCCTTTGGGAGATAATTAAGTTCATATGAAGTCATCAGTGTGATGTTTCCATGATAGTATTGGTGTCCTTATAAGAAGAGACACAAAGGAGATTCTATCTCTGTGTCCCCTCCATGAGATGATATAGCAAGATGGACATCTGCAAGCTAGGAAGAGAAACTTCACTAGGAACCAAAAAGGCTAGCACTTTATTTTTTTACTTCCAAGCCTCCAAAACTGTCAGAAATAAATGTCTGTTGCTTAAGCCACCCAGTCTGTCATATTTCGTTATAGCAGCCAGCTGACTAAGACAGGCATATCATAATTCTTAATTTTTTTTTTTCATAAAGTGCCATGAATTACGGAAACTTTCTTTACTGGCACATTGTAATATTTAATTTCTTAACAGTGTGCAGATGACGTCTCTCCACCCCCTCAACTTATCTCATCCAGGAGTCAAAGGAGAACAAAGGTAAAAACTTCAAGTGCCTATGGGGTATTTAAGTGGAATTTACCTTTTAAAAATGGTGATAACAAAGTCAAACAAAGTGCACCTGTGGGATGAAGTCGGCCCATGGGCCTATATGACTTTTAAGCTAGAGTCTCTTTTGAAGGGCGTAATTTTATAACATTTTATTTCTTACCCATCAGATTCAGACTTCAAAAATATATGTATTTAGAGCTTGCAAATTAAAATGTATGTATAGAGATAAATATATATGCATGCATATGTATAAAAACATATATGTTCAATGCCCCAGAACGTAATAAAGAACATCAAAAATAGGAACTGCTTTAGTTTGAAATAGCTGTAGCATATGTTTTCAAAATATTCATAACAATATTTATGACCTAAAGAAATAAGCAACTAAAAACATTAAGAAATTTGACAAAATAAGTGATCACCAAGACTTCACAGGAGGAAATTTTTGAACTACATTGGAAAAAAAAAATAGAAAAATCCTCTCTTAAAGTATATAATTTTTCTTTAGTTATTTCAACAATTATTGAGGTAACTTTAACTAAATAACAGAGAAAAAACTTTGGAAATTTAAGTAATATTCTCCTGAGATATAATCTAAAATGTTTAGGCAAGCTTTTTATGTCTCTAATAATTGAAGAGTTTTGTCAATGCAAAAAAGTGACTTTACAGGCAGTTTAGCACAGACATAAGGATATATTCTAGTCTACTGAGGAAAGTCTAGTTAATATTATTGATTTTTTCTTTAGTTTAAATTCCCTAGTCTCAATGGTCTTTTATCATGTTTATTCAGAGGCGAATAAAAGGTCAAAATTCAATTTTACTGTATATATTAGATTATTATTTATAATCATATCCTGGAATATCAAATATCATTAGTTACCTATTTACAGTTTCAACCCAAGAAGCAAGCTTTAGAATTTTCTCCAGAGGAAACTAAATTCCCCCTTCATTTTAGGTAGTTTCTATATTTTTAAACAGGTAAAATCGTTACTGACGGGGAAAAGCAGTAGCAGTGTTTACTGTTGTTAAGCTATAAGTGGGTTTAAAAAACATAAATAACTTTTGATTTTTATTGCTTAATAATTACGTAGCTATTTTATTATAGAATGGGGGAGATTTATTTTATGTATATGTGCTTCCATATCCCACACAAGATGTTAATGCTATTTCTTTACAAAAATGCATTATTTAAACATTTTAAAATATTTTAGGCATTTAAACATTTCAGAGAAGCCACATGATAGATTTCTTAACTTATTTCTTCAAATCTACATGTCATATTATATGTATTTATTATGTACAACATGATATTTTACAGTAAATATATATTGTGGAATGGTTGAATTTAGCTAACTAACAAATGCATTACTTCACATAGCTATCATTTTTGTGATGAGAACACTTAATGTCCACAACAGGTTTTGTACTCCTTTCTCCCTCAGCTTTATTGAGGATAAATTGTATAAATATAATTTATAATTGTATAAATTGTATAAATAAACATGTGTATATTTAAGTTGTATAACAAGATGCTTTCATGTGTGTATACATTGTGAAATGGTTACCATAATCAAGCTAATTAACAAGGTTTTGTACCTTTAGTGCCTTTCATCCTTGGGTTTTGATTACTCCTTGCTTTACTACTTGAATCAGTATTGAGAACTAGATTTATGCACTGACAAAAATAGGCATGCCAACAAATACTCAAAAAATGCAGAAATTTAGTTTTACTTTTGTTATTTGTACCTTTCAACCTGAGAAACATTCATGAATTCGCATTCTTAGATTTCCCTACTCCATCCACTTACTAAATGCTAATCATTACATTGCTAATCATTATTAAGCAATAGCTGACAGATTGATTAGATTTTATGCATCTACATAAACAAATCTCTCTCATTCTCTCTCTCTTTTTCTATCTCCTTCTATTTCTATATATTTATGCCTTAGTTACTACTGGTAATATTTTTACTTTTCATTTTTGGTTAAATGTTACATAATCAATGAAAATAGAGAATTGTATCATAGAGAGATAGGAGCTAAAGTTGTACATTGGGTTTATACAGATATAGGAATCATAAAATATAAATATTTCTCAGTTATTTGACATTTCTCTGTGAACTTGCCTATTACGTCTATGCTTTAGAACAAAGACACCCACTTCTTTACTTTTCTAATATAAACCAGAGGCCACACATACTCCTTTTCTCTCATTAAAAATTCTTTTTTTATATGATACTTATGATACTTCCGTAAAACTGCCACAAATACTCGTTGCCTTTCTAATATTTAGATGGACTTAATCATTGTTTTTTGTCATTTTTTTGTCAAATATAGAACATATTTGGTCAACTTCTAAGTAATTATGTTTCAAAAGTTGTATAAGTAATGTCCATGTCATATACAAATAACAAAACCTTCAAAATCAGTGGTGTTTAACTGCTCAAGAAACTATTAACTTGGTTGGATAACATGCTCTGCCTCCTGCCATTTGAAGGTCATGCTGATTTTATTGATCTGGTTTTCTATTTTTTTCCCATTAGCTTTTCCTTTAAAGGCAATTGTGCTAAATAAGTAGCAGTGTTCACTGACAGCTTTCTGCTCCATGTCACCCATGGAGATCTTTAGTTTTCTATGGTGTTTTCATGGTTTAGGTTGCTAATGAGCTGTCTTCTTCAAGGTGATTGTCAGTTCATAATACTATGCTGATTCTGCAAAGCTGTTCCTAACCTCCTTATGTCTTACCTTGTAAAGAATGCTAATCAGCCTTCTAGAGTATCTCCATTTCTGATATTTAAAGGACTTGTGATGATGCCCTTGGCTTATTGGGATGGAAAGTTTCCTTAGACAAACTAAGGAATGAGAATCTATCATGGTCTTCTGAATATTTTGTTGCCTTTTTGTACATGGGTATACAAAAATAATTGGATAGAATCAATCTTACTCTGCACTTTTATAAACTTTCTTAGCAAAGAAAGATAGTCAGTCTGTAAGCTATACTGATATCATACTCAAGGGATGGGTAGTTCACATAACATATAGTATACAACCTTATGAAAATGAAATGTTGAGTATTGCTATACGAGAATAATTTACACTTAAGACAGTCAATGTCATATCTAGTTATTAGAAATTTTTCCTATCAAAAAGATAACCCTTTAGTCATACTGGCTTAAATAACAAAGGGAAGGTTGGTGGGTGTGTAAATTAGCTCAACCATTGTGGAACACAATGTAGCAATTCTCAAAGACTTAAAAACAGAAATACCATTCAACCCAGCAATCTTATTAATGGGTATATACCCAAAGAAATGTAAATTGTCCTACCATAAAGACACGTGCATGTGTATGTACATTGCAGCACTATTCACAATAGCAAAGACATGGAGTCAACCTAAATGCCCATCAATGGTAGACTGGATAAAGAAAATGTGGTACATATACACCATGGAATACCATGCAGCCAAAAAAAGAACAAGATTATATCCTACACAGGAACATGGATGGAGCTAGAGGTCATTATCCTTAGCAAACTAACACAGGAACAGAAAATCAAATGCTGCATGTTCTCACTTATAAGAGTGGAGCTAAATATTGAGAACACATGGACACATAGAAGGGAAAAACACACTGAGACATATTGGAGGGTGAAGAGTGGGAGAAGGGAGAGGATAAGGAAAAATAACTAATGGGTATTAGACTTAATACCTGAGTGATGAAATAATCTGTAAAACAAAGCCCCATGACATAAGTTTACCTATATAACAAACCTGAGCATGTAATTCTGAACTTAAAACAAAAGTGAAAAAAAAAAAGGCCACTGGAATTCAGTAGTGGGAATGTTGCCTTCTGGCTGTGTGCTCTTCAAAAAGAGAGTGGTCTTTAGATCTTGAAGGTGGAGTAGATGGAAGGAATTGCATGAGCAATGCTGTACTTGCTACGAATTTGCAAGGGTGACAGAATAGATACATTTTCAGAGAGAAAGTTTGCATGGAACTTGGGTTTATTCAAGGAATTATAAATAAATCCAGGGAAAAAATCCACCATCTCCTCTCCTCCCTGACTCCTAGAGCTACCACTTAAATCTGTGCCTTCCTTTCATATTCTCACCTGGACTATGCAACAACTTGCTAACTTCAGGTCTCAGCACAATCAGCTTAAATGTCACTATTTATGAGGGGCCTTCCCTGGTCACCCTCCCCAAACTTGGTTCCCTCCCTGCTCCTTTGTTCACTTCCATCATGGATCTTTAATTATGTTATTTAATTGATTGGAAGGGTTGGCATTGAAAAAGTGCTGTAGGGAAAGAGTAGATAGATTGGCTGGGGGAAATATAAGGACCAGAGAGGCCTGTTAAGAAGTGATGGTTTAGGTATGAAATGATGTGAACTTTGCTTAATGCTCTTGCGGCAGTGGGAATGGAACGAGAGAAGCATTAAGGTTTAAAAAAGGTATTCTGTGGGGTATAGAGCACATGCTAGAATTACCAGAATTTATAGTTAATACCTCTGGTGTTTTATAGACTAAACAACTGTATTTAAATACAAAATAAGAAGGAGAAGAAGAAAGGAAAATTAGAAATCAGAAACTGTCAAATCCAATGTTAGGGAGGTCCCGCCACAATTCCTCTGTGGGTTTTTTGACTCTATCATTGACTTGCCTCATGGAAGCTGACCAGGTCTTATAAATACCTTCAGTATTTGATTGCATAGCATAAATTGCACGTTAATCTCTGCATTGCTCATTCCAGAGAGATGGAAAGCATGACTTAAAATTGGATTAAACTGGCTGCGATATGGATTAGTTTGCCGGAAACTACACTGAATTCCATGTAAAATTAAGAAGGCATGGCAAATAGATGCTACAGAAGCAAACAGAAAGATTCAGCTTCAGCATGGCTGAGCCTCTGAAGAATGCGGTGGAAAGGAAATGTGATGTTTCTCAGCTTTTTCACTCCATGTCCACCTAACTCTTCAAGTCACTCTTCCATCTTCTTCATGTGATTCTGACTGTGCAGGGGAAAAAATAACTGATGTGACTATCCATGCCTTCTGAATGACATATGCTTAAATGCCAGCTCTTTGTCTTGTGGGCTTTTGTGGAAAGCACATGTTTAAATATAAAGTATGCAGTCTTCAGGAATATAGATGTAATTTGTTGTTTTGTTGTGTTTGTTTATTTCTACTGAACCAAACACAAAGTAGTGTACACTTTGTTCTGTGTTTGATTGTCTCTGCATATTAATTTATTCCACCTTCTTTCAATATGTGCTTAAATTGGGATCACTTTTCTTCAGAGATAATCTCCCTCTCCTTTTGTTTCTAGTTAGGAGCATCACCAAATTGGAAACTCTTTGTTTGCAATAAGTCATCTGGCTCAGTGAGTGTGATGGATGAGGAGGGAGGAAAGACAGAGAGAAAGAGAGAGGAAGTGAACCACACATCCAGGTTCAGATAACTTTGCTACTTGCCAAAGTTTTTATGTTCTGATATTGTTGCTCCTCTTAGTGTTCTGTGATGTTTGTCCTCAGGGAAACCCGTATTTTTTTCTCTCCAAAACATGCCAGTTGTTTGCTTATTGGTGTTCCTAGCTTCCACTGTAACAGTTAGCATTTCCAGGAGAAGGCAGTTCTTGAGTACTTCCCTACTACTTGGGTGACCATCAGTACCTCAAACACTGTGGCTTCTGAGAGCCCTAGTTAGTCTCTTGGGCGAGGACTTCTCAGAGTACCAAACACATCAAAATAAGCTAATTCAAGTTAATTCCTCATGTGGTGGTGTCATATGTGCCTGTGTGACCATTTCTTAGATTTATCTCACCTTAATGTAATGTTTGCATAAAGGAATGCTTCTGTTATTCTGCCAGTGATATCTCACTCTTTTAAAGGACTTGGATCTGGAAGGATTTATTATAGCCACTTATATATTGAATCAGCAATTCATAAAACTGCAGAGCACATATTGGGATTGCCAAATGCAAATTAAATGTAAAGAGTACAATCAATAATATTGTAATGAAATGTTTTTATGGTGAATTTTTTGCTTTATTAGGACTTTCATGTACAAAAAATAGGTTTTCTTCAAAAAGTATTACTTGAGATGACACTATGCATGTATTTATCTTTGCATTAATTCTTTCTTCATGATGATAAGTTGAATTAAGGACAACATAAACTATGAAGCATATGCAATCATATAATAGATCTAAAATATCTGAGGAACAATAAGTTAAAAATTTTAGAGGTCATGCCTAAATTAAGACATTAAAATGAATAAATATATTTTTTGTTTTATTTTTAAATACCATTTAGCATGACACATATAAGTAACTTGTGCTTTAAATGACTATGAGCAACTGATTTGTTTTTTTAAAACATAAAATCAGTTTTATACATGTTCAGCTTTAAGTTAACAACACAGCATTAAAATAGAAACTGCCTACTTTCGCAAAGAAATATTTATAAGATATATGAAGACAAGTTTTGACAGGCATCCCCTGGGAATTCCACATTAATATACTACATTGACATATCAAGAGTTTTAATAGTATGTTTTAATAGTGTGTTTTAATAGTTTGTTATACTACTAAGCTACTACACTAGTTTTATAGTATAATATACTACATTGACATATCAAGAGTTTTAATAGTATGTTTTAATAGTATGTTTTAATAGTAGTTTTAATAATATGTTTTCTATTCTATGTTTTCTATTACCATAATATAACCAATAGCCTAACAAGAAATGATGAATACGAAATATAAACTTTAATCACAAAATTGTTTCCCTGGGGAAGACAAAATATTTTATGAATAAAAGTTCTGGGCTTGAATTATTTTCCCTTCATATACTTCTTATATTTTGGTTACACTCTTGATAGCATCTTAGAAGACAACTTGGTAGAAACTCTCTGTCAAGTCCCTTCCATTTTTCCTTGGACTCTTAAAAATAATAATGTCAAATTTCAGGAAAAAATGTGTATTATCTGGCAAGGTAGTCTTTTATAAAAAGTTTTTTAAAAGTATAGATTTCCTACAAAATATACAATGAATGTATGGACTTGGATTAACAAATTTAAAGTAATTTACTTTGCACATTGAAGACCATGAGTATAAAAAAGAATGGGCATTATGACACAAATAAATGACAAATACCCTGTCAATAAGCTCACACACATACGTGTTAAAAATCCAGAGGTCTTAGTAATGTACAAGCATAGGAAAAAGTGGAATTTAAATACAAAGGCCCAGGTTTTCATTTTGAGTTTATTTAATCTTTGAAGAATGTCACACAAATAACCAAATTCAGATCAAATGATTGGTCTCAAGTTATACCATGGGCACAATTTTTTTTTCAATAAGTTCTTTTCTCTTCATCATGGTGTAGTGTACATATATAAGGGAAAAACCTCACATAGACAAGAAAAGTTCTACAGATTCTCTAGGTGGATTTTATTGTGGCAGAAGCATATTTTTAAAAGCCAACCCCAGGCTCTCCAAAAGTTTTCCCTGAGTAAAGCATATATACAGATGCTTCAATAATTAGAGCCAGTACTTTTTATATCTCATGATGTAGAGAAGGAATAGCAACTCCTTGAACATAGTGACACTTCATTTATTATGAATTTGATAACTTTTGACGGATGAATGTGCGAATATTGAGATACATTTAAATAAACATTTAAGTAACTATTGAGTTACGTTTAAGTAAAATGTATTTGGGTCCAGGCATGATGGTTCACACCTGTAATTCCTGAACTTTCGGAGGCTAAAGTAGGCAGATTACTTGAGGTCAGGAGTTTGAGACCAGCCTGACCAGCATGGTGAAACCCCATCTCCACTAAAAAAAACTCACAAAATATTAGCTGGGTGTGCTGGCACACGCCTATAATCCCAGCTACCAGAGAGGCTGAGGCAGGAGAATCCCTTGAACACAGGAGGTGGAGGTTGCAGTGAGCCCAGGTAACACCACTGCACTCCAACTTGGGTGACAGAGCGAGACTCCAACTCAAAAAAAAAAAAAATGTATTCGTTAGGGCTAATGTTAAAAAACATATACTCACTGCTGCAATGTCTAACTTTTTACTATAATATTTATTTTATTTTATAGAAACCTGATTATTTGAGTGAGTAAATTTTGCTCTGAAGTATGTAAATATCTCTATGGACTATGTTATTAACTGAATTTTGAAGCCCAAGTATTGACAGAACTGACATTACAAAGAGATGTGTGACTATAAGGCATTTCAGAGTAGCAGCTACTTAATTTGAAAACTGTCTCTCTCTTCAGACTAGAGGAGGTTTCTTGACCCTGAAAGAGACTTTTGATGAGCTTCAAAGGCTGCAATAAATGTTCTTAACCAGATATTTCTTCATATTTTGTAATATTACTGAGTAATTCAAATGAATTATTCAACTTTTCTAAATTCCAAAGTTTAATACTAAATTTTAGTTTTAAAACAAAATGTCTAGATAAAAATTATTTTTTTACACCTTAGTGAGTTATGAATAGATGACAGTAAGCTAATTGTTTAAATTATTTTGGCCAATTCAAGTAGCAGGTACTTAGAACAAAAGTGGAGTATGCCTGCATCTGTGCAAATAATTATTTCTATATAAAATCAGTACATATATTATTGATCAATAAAATTAAAATTCCCTAGACAATGTTTAATTCTTATTATTGAAATGTATAAATATTCTGAAACTTTTTAAAGGAAGTCTTCAGAGTTTTAGCCTGTGAAATTTAGTTGTTCTGTTGAGTGAATATCTATTCATGTCAGTCTTATACAAAAACATATGAAAATCACATATTAGGAAAAATTTTTCCATGGAATAGTAGTGAGAGCAGCAGGAGACAGACAAATGCTGAGGCAGACAGGGTTGGTCCCCAGAGAAACCCCACCTTCAACCCAAAGACAGTTTAAATCCTAGCTATAAGTCCTAAGTAAATCCATGGACCAGATTGAGAAGCTGTCTTCTGGTTTGGTATGATTTCTCCTGATTGATCCTCACCCTTCACCTGTTTTACATATGCCCACCCTTCCCTAATTGGCTTTTTTTTACACTGTCATGCCCACCTTTGAGTGGTGCCTTTGTTGTAACTTTTTTTGCCTACTCACAACCAATCAGCACACACTCCCCTATTCTGAACCCATAAAAACCCCAGACCCAGCCACACTGGGATAGAAACCACTGACTTCCGGTGGGGGTCCATTCCTCCATCCCCTTTCTGCTGAGAGGTTTTCCCTCACTCAATAAAATTATTCTCCACTCTCCTCATCCTTCAATTGGCAGCATATCCACATTCTTCTTGGATGTGGGACGAGAACTCGGGAGCTGCCAAATGCAGGTATGAGCTATAACACAGGTGGGTTGGGGCATGCCCAGCTCAGCCACGGGCTGAGCCAGTGCACAAGTCAGGTGTGTCCCCAGCAGGCCAGGTGAACAGGCCATCTCCTGCAGCTGGTAGTGTGGCCGAGCAAGTGGGGAACATTGTTGTCCAGAGGTTCCCAATTGGCAAAATGACTGAGAAAAACCTTGCATTTGTAGAAATATCCAGAGAGAGAGAGAGAGAGAGAGTTCAGATTGTAGAGATGGGGTAGAGTCTCTAATAGTGCATAATAATTCACACATGGAAAGATTTTAAAAGAGGCAATCAAGAAAGAGACAAGCAAAATATTAAGATATAGAGGCCAAGATAGAAAATAAATATATGTATCCATCAAATTACCCTGCTTCAGGCAAAGTTTGTGGAAGAGCAACACTTTAAAACTATTTTCGTAAAATACAGTTACTTTATAAACTAAAAAGGTGAACTTTTGAAAAACATTGTAGCAGACACCAATTACTCACCACCTCAATTCAATACATGCTGTCAATATTATATTATTATTATATGAGAGATTCATTTTCTCATTATAAATTAATAGTAAACAGTGAAATTTTCCTTTTAAGTCTACAAAGAAACAAGAAACATGCTTACACCATTTCTCTTTAAAAGTATACTAGATGGCACATTCAGAGCATTGAGACTGGAAGAATAATAAAATAATTAATGTATTAAAAGGAAAATTTTGGAAAGAAATAAAAAATGCATACATAACAGACAATTTAATTGTCTATAAAGAAAACTCAAGATTGTCCCTACAGGAACTATATATTGTAAAAGTATATTTTAGTTTTACAATGTTTAGATTACTATCTACTCTGAAATTCTGGAAATAATTTGCATCCTATTTAACTGGATCTCCTGATCCTTTTCTCTATATTACTTAGACTTTTAAATTAAAAATTATCAGCATATATAGACATTTATTTTTAAAATCATCATTTTTCAAAACTGTTTTAATACATGTTTTAAAACTAAAAACTCCTTAAATTTTGAAAAATGACTATAAAATCATATAGAATATCTTTCTCTTAATATACTGTCCATTCTAGGTATTCTAAGCACTGCTTTATTTACATATTTGCATCTATATTCATACATAAATAAGATGATATCTATAATTTTCTTTCATATGGTAATTTCATCTGGTGTTGTTATTAAAGACATATTGTCTATTTAAAATACATTGTTCAGCTTTCCATGCACTAAAATTGATTGAAAATTATTTGGGGTGTTCCGTTCTTTAAATAAAACTAAACTCTGAGACCCTCAAATATTGATTTCTCTTTTAAACTTCTTAAGTCTAGATATAGGGTCATATCATCTGCAAACAGGGATAGTTTAACTTCGTCTCTTCCTATTTGGATACCTTTATTTCTTTCTCTTGCCCAATTGGCCTGACCAACACTTCCAATACTATGTTGAACAGGAGTGGTAAGAGAGGGCATCTTTGTATTGTATCAGTTTTCAAGGGGAATGCTTCCAGCTTTTGCCCATTCAGTATGATGTTGGCTGTGGGTTTGTCATAGATGGCTCCGATTATTTTGAAGTATTTTCCTTTATCATCTAGTTTATTAAGAGATTTAACCTAAATGGATGTTGAATTTTATTGAAAGCCTTTATTTACTGCATATGTTGAGACAATCATGTGGTTTTTGGCAGAAAGACAAACTTTGCAAGTTTTCACTTATTTTTGTAAGCTAAAAATTAAAACAAATTCATGAAGTTTATGTATACCTGTGCTCTCTCTTTCCTCTTTCTCCTTGCTTTTTGGGGCTAATTGTTATTTAACTTTTCAGGAACTATATTTTGGATTTATTAGTTCTTTCTCATTTATTATTATTATTTAGTCATGTTAATTAATGCCATTTTTAGAGTTAATTTTCTCTTCATAGTTATAAACTTCCTTTTAAATCTTTCAATTATCTTAGAATAACCGTTTTCTTCAATATTAAAGATATTTAAAATTAATTTTTTTTCTCTGAAAACAAGTTCTGGGCAAGCCAGGTTTCTAGTATGTTCCAGAGAGGTTGGAAAAATATTTTTCATTATCTTTTGATTTAAAGATTATCTAGTAATTTATTTATTTTAGTATACTTACTGTTACTTTTGTGGTCATTATTAACCACAATTTCTGTCTTAGTTATATCCTAAGAGTTAGAGATGATTTTTCTTTCCATGTTCGAAATTATTACCCATTTTTTTGTTTTGTTTTCAATTTTTCTAAGCAGATTAAGCACTCCACATGTTCTGAAAGCTGGGATTTTTGGAGATGTTCCATCCCTGAAATGCAATAAACAATGTATCAAACAACCAGTATCTTATAATGCTGTAAATAATATTTTATATTATTTTGTTCAAGACCTTCATACAGTTGATCAGATTTAAGTATGGCATTTTAGTGAGCCAGGCTTGTGGTATAGACTTGCTGTCTAATTCTCTCTCTTGTGCTACTAACTAGTACATGTTGATTTTCTTTGTGCCTAGTGGAATTTATAAGGGCTAACACATCCATCTTTTCCACAAATAAGAGGAGAGATATTTTCTTATCTTAGTTAGCTATAATGATACTTCCATCACAAAATCGCTTTAATGATAGACCTCAACCCTCTTGGCTGTTCTAACCCGAGTTCATGGGCTCCAGTGAAGAAAGTACAACAACTCATAAGGGGACTTCTCTCTATTATGTATTTGTCCACGGTTACCAAAGGATTGGGTAGCTTACAGAGCCTATGGCTCTTTCTGAAAATACAAGCACCCCTAACACATGGGTTGTGTGGTCTGTTCACACAAGAGATAGAAAGGAAAGGCAAACAATTTAAAGGAATTTAGTATTAACAAATCTAATTTTCAGACACAAAATAGAAATGTGATTATTAATACTTCATTTGTCTCTTGGTATTACTCAATTGCATAATAAGAGAGTGCAGTCTAGTAAAAAACATTGAACATACACTTCTGATTATTCAGAAATTATTTGAGACTTTACTAGTTTTGTTAGAAAGGTAAGGGCAAAATCACATTACATTAGAGAATAAGGTTATGTCTTTGGTCTAATACATTCTAAGAGAAATTAAAAATCTAAGCAGCATGGTATATAGTATATATGTGGTGGAACTTGTGATAAAATGCTATGTAGACTACAGTAGTATTGAAAATTAAAACTATTTACTTATGTAAATGTTATATGTATTCATAAATAAGATTGAGATGATCAAGAGAAGGTTTCTACTCAAAATATTTTATTATAAAGCAAATTGGTTCAAAAGAAGCAATGGAATGAGGATATGGAGTTACAAAACTATTATTACAAAACCAAATATCCTAATTTGTCATTTGTTAAAATGAAAAGAAAACATGGATCACAAATCCCTTTTGTACTTGATGCAAAACTTTGGTGGATAAAAATTGTTTCCCCAATAGGGTGACTATAAAAAGTGTAAGACTGGTGATTTTTCTTGGTCTCAAAAGTAAAGGAGCATGTAAGAAGATGATTATATAAGAGTAATTGCAAGTGAGATGAATTTCCTAAGTTAAATTTATTAATTTTTTGTAATCTATTGTTATGAAATTGCATATAAGACATTTCTGCCCAGGAATAATAATAATAAAAAACTCTGTGCTATTTCGTAAGTGGATACAAAAAATATGTGGGCAGCTCACATGGAAAACAACCACTACCAGCAAGGATAAAATTACTTCAGTGATTAATTTAAAATTTGCTGTAATCAACAGTGTTTGCAAGAATGTTTTTTAGGGGAACTTAGTTTACTCAAACATAGGATAACACTGTTTTAATGGATAACTTACTAAATGTAAACTTACATTGATTACCTACCATGATACAAATTACACATCTTTATTTTCTAGACAGAGGACATGTAAACACTGGCTTAAGTTTCTCTTTAAAATTAAAAGATAATAAATGGACTCTTCCTAGATATCTGCCCTCAATTTAGAGCTTCTTTCTTCTGCTAAATACCCAGCATCACATTGAGAAATTACTCCTCTTTTGTTGGTTTGCTAAGTATAATTTATTACGAGTAGGTGGTGATTTTTAAAAATCAATTTAGCCTTTTTTATTGCCTCAATTAAGACAAGTATATAATGAATCTCATTTAATGTGTTAATGCATTCATTTATATATGGAATCTCCCTTCCATAATGTGCAGGTACTTAATGCATTGCTGACACCACTCTCTTAATATTTAAAAAATAATGAGGGACTACATTTCTGGTCGAGATTGGTCCACTCTTTTCCATTGCAGTAGTGTTCTTCTTCGGGTTTTGTAGAAACGTCTCACTAATCTCATACTATATAGTAAAATTCTTGCTCAGATCTCTTGACCACTTTCTATAGATAGAAAATATGTTCCTTAAATAGTTGGTAGAACTGGCCCATGGAGGTGTTTGGTTTAGTACAATTCAGGTGCCTTGTCTATTTTTTTCTTAAGCCATATACAATAAACTGGGTAGTATCTCCCTCACCCAAATTTATGTCCACTTTGAAATTCAGACTGTGATCTTATGGGGAAACAGGACTGCACATTTGCTGATGTGATCAATTATGATGAGATTACACTGGATGAGGATACGTCTCGAATCCAGTATTACTGGTGCCCTTAGAAGAGAGAACACGGCCTGGCCTAGTGGCTCACGCCTGTAATCCCAGCACTTTGGGAGGCCGTGGAGGGTGGAACACCTGAGGTCAGGAGTTCGAGAACAGCCCAGCCAACATTGTGAAACCTCATCTCTACTAAAAGTACAAAAAAATTAGCTGGACATGGTGGTGCGTGCCTATAGTCCCAGCTACTCAGGAAGATGAGGTGTGATAATCTCTTGAAGCTGGGCGATGGGGGTTGGCAGTGAGTTGAGATCACGCCACTGCACTCTAGCCTTGGAGACGAGTGACGCTACGCCTCAAAAAAAAAAAAAAAAAAAAAAAAGAATACATAGGCATACACACATTTCTCATATATGAATTTGAGGAAATTATTATTTAAATATTTTGTTAATGGCAATGTGCAGTGTTTTCCATGATCATTCAGTTATAATGATTTGCAAATGTAGTTAACATCACCATAATATATTAATAATTTAGAAAAGCTTTTTTAAAATTATACTTTAAATTCTGGGATACATGTGCAGAACGTGCAGGTTTGTTTCATAGATATACACATGCCGTGGTGGTTTGCTCCACCCATCAACCTGTCATCTACATTAGGTATTTCTCCTAATGCTATCCCTCCCCTAGCCCCCAACCTGTGACAGGCCCTGGTGTGAGATGTTCCCCTCCCTGTGTCCATGTGTTCTTATTGTTCAATTCCCACTTATGAGTGAGAACATGCAGTGTTTGGTTTTTTGTTCCTGTGTTAGTTTGCTAAGAATGATGGTTTCCAGCTTCAACCATGTCCCTGCAAAGGACATGAACTCATCCTTTTCTATGGCTGCATAGTATTCCATGGTGTATTTGTGCCACATTTTCTTTATCTAGTCTATCACTGATGGACATTTGGGTTGGTTCCAAGTCTTGGCTATTGTGAACAGTGCTGCAATAAACACACGTGTGCATGTGTCTTTACAGTAGAATGATTTGTAATCCTTTGGGTATATACCCAGTAATGGGGTTGCTGGGTCAAATGTTATCTCTGGTTCTAGATGCTTGAAGAATTGCCACACTGTCTTCCACAGTGGTTGAACTAATTTACACTCCCACCAACAGTGTAAAGTCGTTCCTATTTCTCCACATCCTCTCCACCATCTGTTGTTTCCTGACTTTTTAATGATCGCCATTCTAACTGGCATGAGATAGTATCTCATTATGGTTTTGATTTACATTTCTCTAATGACCAGTGATGATAAGCTAAATCTTTTTTAATGCTTTGATAAGCACATGACATTTAGGTTAAATGGAATTAAATTTCTGTAAGTAAATCGATTTATTTTCCTTGTTTTCAGATAATTTTTTCTATGATATCAACTTTTTGTAAATTTGAGTCTTGCTTTGCATTCAATATCGCCATTTATGAAAAGTTTAATGTTTATGAATGCCTATATGTGTGTTTTTTGTGTGTATATACATATATACACATATTCTCAAAATAATGTATTACATATTATGTATACTGAATACTTTATCATATAGCCTCAAAAAGTACAATCATGTATATGTAAATACACACATATATAATGATTAAATCAATATACATGTTCATGGTTATCAAATATGTTTTCTAGAGCTCTATTTTCTTTCTAAATTTAATCCAAGCTGATCTATAAAATGCTGAGAAAAATGTGCTAAATTGTCCCACATAATATTGTATAGGTTATCTTTTTCCTCTTGTAGATGCACAATGTTCCTTTCATATATTGATGCCACAGTATTTTTGTAATTTTTTGTACTTACATGATGATATTGACTTTTCCTTCTAAATTTTATATAGCAGACTGTTTATCCTTGTGATGCTCATCCATCTTAAAATATTTTGCCTTTTCAATAACTGTGTTAGCACAGTTTTTCTATGTTTTCTTTCACTCCTTCCTGCCCCCACCCAATTTTCTACTTCTTTAGGGACTGCTGAGTATTTCTTCAATTATTTATCTATCTTACTAGCTTTGAAGCTATATATTTTAATTCTATTTTTAAGTCAGAGCTTTAATCAAAGGATGCTGTGTGACAACAGTCTGCAATAAATGAGTATTTATAGAGAATTCATGCTCAGATATTAATCCCCTTGGGCTTCACGACAACTGTGTAGGGCCCAGGATGATCACCTCTGGCTATGAGTACTTTCTTCCATTTATCACTTTGTGTTAGCAAATATCATCTCTGTATGTGCTATGATGGAACAAAGTTTAGAATCATTTATCTAGCCTTATATTTTGAAAATGCATTTTTGACATAAAACAAATCTAAATTGAATCAGGTTTTCTGTTCTCAAAGTTAGAAAAACTTTGAAATTGACTAAGATAACATTCTGTTGATTTAAAAAAATCAAAAGCAATGAATATATTATAGTAAAACAAAGTAAAGTACTTTCTTTAATATGCAAAAATTGTAGGTTGTTACAGAAAAGTCTCTGTATTTGCAAGGTTAATATTTTCTTTTTTTTTTTGCATTTTTTAAGAATACAATCTATTGTTAACTATAGTCATCATGTTGTACAGCAGATCTGAATTTATTCCTCCTCTCTAATGGAAACCTTGTATCCTTTTATCACCATCTCCCCAACTCTCTAACCAATCCTTATTTTACTTTATGCATCATTATTGTCAAGTTTTAAAGTCTCTCAGTGTGCAGTTTTTAGCCTCCTCAATGACTTAATGTAAAGTAAGTATTGGTAACTTTTTATTTTTGTTGTTTTCAAAATTCTGGGAAATTTTTATTTATTTTCATCTATTTGAATAACACCTGTCACACACACTTCAGTTCATATTCTTTGGAAGTCAGATTAGACATAAGCTGAACTTTTTCATGCTCTATGCCTTCCACCATTTGTGTATGTTTGTGTGTGATTTCTGTACCTCTCAGGGCTGCATTATAAATAATTTTATCAGATCCATATTTTTATCTGCTAAATCTAATCTACTAAATGTCTCTTGAATGGTTTGTTTTATTTAAATGTCTACAGCTGGCCTCACTAGGAGCTCTTAGCAATGAGTTTAGAACTCCTGGGTCTTCCCTGAGGGAACTTCGGGAATAATGTATTTCATTTCAGAAAAGATTATTGTTGTGCTGTTGTTGTTTTTTAACCCTAATTCTAGAAATGACATTTCCCCTTTTGTTCTTATGATTATACATACAAGGATTTCTGTAGTTCACCTTGAGATTCTTAGCTTTATGTGTGAATCCTAATCATTGGCATCAAGTGCTACCAAGGTTATAGCTCCCTGAGATGTCAAAACTTCTAATAACTTGGTTGTTTACGCCTATATCCTCAGAATCTTTTCACATATAACAAGGCACAACAACCCTCACCTGCCAAATCCTGTATACATCTCTTAGAAAAAATTTGCTAAGCTAGCTTTGCTCTTGATCTCTAGCTCTTAGAAATTTCTTTTGCCAGGCTGGGCACAGTGGCTCATGCCTGTAATCAGCACTTTGGGAGGCTGAGGCAGGCAGATCATGAGGTCAGGGGATCAGGACCATCCTGGTTAACACAGTGAAACCCCGTCTCTACTAACAATAAAAAAAATTAGCTGGGCATGGTGGCATGGGCCTGTAGTCTCAGCTACTTGGGAGGCTGAGGCAGGAGAATCGCTTGAACCCAGGAGGCAGAGGTTGCAGTGAGCAGAGGTCATGCCACTGCATTCTAGCCTGGGTGACAGAGTGAGACTCCATCTCAAAAAAAAAAAAAAAAAAAAGAAATTATGTTTGCCATTTTGTGAGCTTGTATCAAATCAAATCTATCGATATGCTCATCTATTTCTTCATTCGTTCATGTATTGGTTTGCTTGTTTATTGCTATCCCAGCATTTCAAGAACTTGTAATGCATTTTAAAATTAATCTATTTAGCTATCAATAAATAATTTTGCCTACTGTAACGGAAAATCCAAATAACAGTACCTTGAACAGAGAAGTGCATTTCTATGTAATGAGAAACCAGAGGTAGAGTAGGTAGTTATAGGCCTTGATTTAGGGTTTAGGGATTTCTGAACAAATATCTCTTCACTTACCTCAATTTTTCTCTAATGGTCACATTCAGTTTCTGCAGATATAGCGAATTAACTTTCCTTTCTAGTAAGGATAAAAGAAGTGAAGCAAAGGGCAAAAGGGCAGAAGGGTATGTACCAACTAATTTTTTAGAAGTCTGATTCACTGATCTCCACTTATATCTTCTTGCTAAGAGCTGTGCCACATAAGATGACCTCTAGTGAGGTAGCAAAATGTAAATTTTTTTATATCTACCTAAAGTCAGATTATGTTGGTGCAGAAGAAAAGGATGAAGACATTAGGAAAGAAACTAGTAGTTGATGACACATAATTATCAGCCACATTGACAGAATTTTGTTTCCTCTATACTTACACAGCCCTTTAGAATTTTTTGAAAAACTGAAAGTATGTGTTTATAGTAGGGTAACACAGTGTATTTTCACTGTATATGGAATTCCAGGGTGATATTTTTTGTCTTTCAGGATCTTAATGATGCTCTATCACTATCTAGGGCCACACAATTTTGATATAATTCAGCAGTCACACAAATTGTTTCCCTGTTGATGGTGTGTCATTTTATGACAATTTTCAAAAGTTTTTTTCCTCTTGTGTTTTTTAGTAATTTGTGATGTGCTTAGGTATGTTTGGTTGAAGTACACCAGGTCATCCAAAACAAACAAACAGATTTTCACTTCCCTTTTGCAAGGAAAACTTGTACAGTTTCTTAAAATACTCTTCATACTGTAAACCAAATAATAGTTATAAAGAAAAAAACACTTTTTAGAAGTGAAAATTGTAAAATATGAAGTGTTGTAGAAGAAAATATATCAATATATTTGTGTTGTTTTCCCCCATTTGCGTATTGGAAAGAACTTAGCAGACTCCACCAACATAAGGTTTTTATTTAAAGGTAAAGCATGCAATGCATTTAGGAGACGAGAATGCAGCCCTAGATTGAGTCTCAGTTAAATCCCAGCCAAATTATTCAAGGCCGACTTGGCTCACAAAGGGCCAGACTGAATCTATTTGAATGGCCAAAACCCGTGCAAGGAAGCTAGGTTTCCGAAGAGTTCAGAGAAGCTCTCAGTAGGGATGCTCATAATTCCCTTTAGATAGGTAATAAAGACAGGCTTGTGAAACTACTTAGACAAATTGCAAAATACAAGTAAAACACAGGTGGAGATGGGTTACCAGGAGAGTTTCAGACCCTGAACAGAGCATGATAAATTTCATTCCTTATGTTGATCAAGAGTCAAAAAAAAAAAAAAAAAAAAAAAAACAACAAAACAGCCAAGTAGCCATCACTAGTGATATAAATGCTGTTTTCCTAGTTCAGTTGTAAATCAATTCTATGTCTATGGTATTTTTTTCAAAAATATATTTTTAAGTATTATATTCTTAACAAGTCATATATAAACTAATATGCCCAATTTTGTTTTTCTGAGATTACTTATACCAAAGGTAATCAATACTAACAGAATTGCATATGTCCTCTTGGACCCTTTATAATTATATATACACACATACGTTTTTACATACATTTATAACATTTTATGTAATTATATATACAAGAATGTTTTATGCTTACATGAATGCCCATTGCAGTTAATTATATCATGTATAGAATTTTCATTTCATAAATACTTCATTTTTAAACTGATCTTTGAATTCCATAATATATCTAACGAAACATATATATTTTTTAAATTAATTTCGAAAAAGCTACAAATACAATTCAGAGGACAATTTAGAGGATCTTTTCAACAAATCAAACCAGAGTTATTCAATATTATTAGCAAAAAATAAGCTTTAATCTATACTTCACACTATATAAAAAATGTACTGACAATAGGTCATAGACCTGAATGTAAAACCTACAAAAAAAAAGACTTGTATCCAGATTATGTATACAAAAAAAGAAAACTAAATATTTACTTAATAAGAAGGTGGCAAGCTGAATGCAGGGGCTCAAGGCTGTCATCCCAACACTGGGAGGCTGAGGAGAGACGATTGCCTGAGGCCAGGAGCTCAAGACCAGGTTGAGCAACATACTGAGACCCCAGTCTCTACAAAAAAATTAGAATGCATGGTGGTGCATGCCTGTCACCCTAGCTACTCGGGAGGCTCAGGCAGAAGGATAGCTAGAGCTCAGGAGCTCAAGGCTGCAGTAAGTCATTATGACGTCACTGTAATCCAGCATGGACAACAGAGTGAGACTCTGTCTTGAAGAAGAAGAAGAAGAAGGAGAAGGAGAAGGAGAAGGAAAAAGAGGAGGAAGAGGAAGAGGGAGAAGAAGGAGGAGGAGGGGGAGAAAAGAAGGAGAAGAAGGAGGAGGAGAAGAAGAAGAAGGAGGATGAGGAGAAGAAGAAGAAGAAGAACAAGAAGAAGAAGAAGAAAAGAGAAGAGAGAAGAGAAAAGAGAAGAGAAGAGAAAGAAGAGAAGTAGAGAAGAAGAAAGAAGGAGAAGGAAGAAGGAGAAGGAAGAACAGGAGGAGAAGAAGAAGGAGGAGGAAGAGGAGGAGGAGAAAAGAGAAGTAGAGAAGAAAGAAGGAGAAGGAAAAAGAAGAAGGAGGAGGAGGAGGAGAAAAAAGGAGAAGAAGGAGAAGGAGGAGGAGAAGAAGAAGGAGGAGGAGGAGGAAGAGAAGGAGATAAAGAAGATACAGTTTGGTAAGATGTTGTCCCCAAATATATATCTGGATGCCAAATAAACACATAAAAATGTTCAACATCATTAGTCAGTAGAAAATAGCTAATTAAAACCACAATGACATATTACTTCCTGCCTATTTGAATACCTAAAATTAAAAGTACTGCCTATATCCAGTGTTGATGAAGATGTGGAGAAAATAGAGCTTTCGTACATTCCTTGTAAGATACAACTGCTTTGGAAAACAGTTTTGCAGCTTATTAAAATGTTACTCACCTAGTATAAGATCTAGGCACTCTATTCCTCATTATTGATGCAAGATTAAAAAAAGGCATATGCCCATAAAATGATTTGAACATGAATGCCCATAGTAGCCTTATTTGTAATAGCCTCAAACTGGAAACAACAAATAAAAAAATAGATAAATCGTGATTGATTCATAGAATGATCTACTACCTCTGATTAAAAAGAAATGCACTATTTTATGTACAATGCCAATAATGGATTATCAAAATAATTATGGTGAATGAAATAAACTCTAAAAAGTGTTTATTTTATATAATTTTATTCTTATAAGAAAGTGTATCACTGATTGCCTGGTGACAGGAGAATGGTATATGTGAGGAGGGATTCCAATGGGGAGGAGGGACAAAGAGACTTTATAGGATAAAGGGTATATTCATTATGTTGATTGTGATGATAGTTTCTGAACTGTAAACTATGTAAAAACTTGTTAAGTTGTATACTTTAAATATGTACAGTTTATTGTCTATCAATTATTCATCAATAAAGCTGTTAAAATGATTATTTACTAATAAAAAATCAATAATTTAAAATATGTGATTAATTTGAAACTAGTAAGAAAAGTAAAAACATAATGGATCATAAAATAGGTAAAATTGAAAAAATAATTACATGTCAGTAATTATATGAGATTTAGAGATTCAATTTCCCTACTAAAAATGATTGCCAAATTAAATATAAGAATGATACTATGTTACTAATGTAATACCCACTTAAAATTGGAACACACAATGAATTTGAAAGCAAATTTCTATTTAAACACTATTTTTAAAACGCCATTGTAGCTATACTACGTTTAGACAAAATAAGCTTTTAGACAATATGACTTAACTATATAAATGGCTTTTTTTTAGGCAATATGACTTACTATATAAAAGAGACATTTCCCAAATTCAAAAGGGCTAATCTAACTGAAAGTTACCAATTTCTAAATACAATTGCAGTGTCAAAAAATAGAGAGCAAAAATTAACATAACTAAAGAAATAGATAAATCCAAAAATATGTTGTCAGATCTTCAAAATACATTTCTATCAAGAATTGTGAAGGATGTGAGACTTTACAAGTCTCAGAAAGTGAAAATGAGATATCTGGATGAGAGACAAAAGACAGTTTACTACTGGCAGCAATAGCAGTTGCCAGTTTAATATTATTTCTGTTTTAGTTTTCCAAATCCCAGTTCTTACATGGTGACACAATGGCCTGGTAATCCTGCAGACACGGTGGATTGCATAAAAGAGAGGAAGCTAGGGCTGGGGGCACTCATATCTTTAATAAGGGGCAGTGAGCCTGCTGGACCTTTGCCATAGAGAGAAACAGTACCTTTATAATTCTGGACAGTAAATAAGCCACCTGTTTTATTCTAGAGAGACATACATCTTTATCTTCAACGGCTGTTCACTATACAGATATCCTTGAAATGATGACCTAGAATAAAGGCAATCAGGGCCTTTGCTGAAAAAAACAAAACAAAATATGAGAAATATGAGAGATTATGGTGATTTCTCTCTCAACAATTGCTCAGCGATCCATAACATGAAAATAAAAAGCAAGAGTAGTATAGAAGTTTTGATCCACAAGATTAGCAAATGTCACTGCATTTACATATATAGAAATACAACACACTTATTTTCAAAGGCACTTTGAACATTTACTGAAATAGACCACTTATTAGGTCATAAAGCAAGTCACAAAAAACTTCAAACTATTGAATAATTCCAAATATGTTCTCTAACCAGAGTGGAACTAAGACAGTAATTGATAATACAGTTAGATCAAAAAATTCCCAACACTTTAGAAATTAAGCAAGAAACTATAACACAAATAAACAAGAAATTAAGCAAGAAACTATAACACAAATAAAAGAAAAAGTCCAATGTATAGAATAATATATTTTATTAAATGGCACTGATGAAGCATATCAAAAAGACAAAATGCAGCTATATTAGATTGAAATGAAACAATATAGCTTTTAATACAAATATCTGAATATTTCAGAAGATAAAAACTAGCATCCCATGTTCAGAACTTAAAAAGAAAAATAGACACAAAAAAAGAAATAAGCAAGTAACAAGGATAAAATATTTTTTGAAAAGTGAAAAAGAAAGAAGACCATGTGAGAGTTTTCTGAAAGCAACAATGTAAAATAGTTTGTTTTTAAGATTAATACAAATAACAAGATACTAGCAAATTTAAATAATTTAAAAAGGGAGAAGGTTCAAATCGACATGATAATGGAACGGGGAACATTATTTCAGATATGACAAACATTAAAAATAAATGAAATTTTATTTATATAAATTTGGAAAACATAATTCAATGCCAAATTTTTAGGATAACACACCAAAATTAGCACAGGAATAAGTGGAAAATCTAAATCATACATGTATTTAAAAAGTATAGCTATATCAAGCAAAACTTTTTAGAACCTCTATGTCTATAACTTTTACCTTTGATTTATTTTAAAAAGCTATTATTCAATGATAAATGTAAAAGAACAACTTTATATTCTAAAGGGACATATATCAAAAGTCTCTACTAAAAGCAAACAAATACAACTAATCGTTTTTAATTGTGCAATATTAAAAATTTTCCTTCAGTTGGGAATGAGACAGGAACATTTCTTAGCTTCATTCTTATTAAACATCATACTCTGTTTCCTATTCAGTTCATGGACTCAGGGCATAATATGGTACAAGAATTGAAAGAAAGAAAAAATTCTTATCAGAAACATAACTTTGTCATCAATAAATCTAAAAAAACTACAGATAATAAATTTACTAACTAAATTAAAAATATATAAGATATAAAGTTATTATAAAATAAAATTTCTTGATTCCAGCCCAAATTATGAAGATAAAATTTTAAAATATTATTTAAAATAACATTAATTGCATAAAATTTTTTGAAATTGATAATTTAGAAAAATGTGAATCCTCTATGAAAATATATTATCCTTTTAACATTTATAAAATTATAAAATGGAGAAATACCTCCCATTGTAGACTACAAGATTTAATCCTCTACATGTCAATTTCCTCCAAATTGAAAGAGATTTTCAGTGCAATGACAAAGAGAATCCCAGGAAAGCCTAATCTGGGGAAAAGTGGTAAAGGAGAGAATTTTACAAACTGATTTTAAAATGTATATGGTAATGCAGAAATTACCAGCAATCGGGAAAATTATGAAGAAGACATTTATTGGAAATACACTAACAGATAAGATTTCTAATAAATCAAGGCAGAATTAACCTGACTCCAACAAGATCACAACGGAGAAAGAAAACTACAGGGCCGTATCCCTGATGAACAAAGGTACAAAAATCCTCAAGTAAATACTAGCAAAATAAATTCAAACACTTATTCAAAGATCATTCACTATAATCAAGTGCTATTAATCATAAGGATGCAGGGATGATTCCATGTATACAAATCTCTTAATGCAATATATCACATTACCAGAATGAAGAACAAAAACTAAGAATCATCTCAGTAGATACTGAAACAGCATTTGACAATATTTAGCAGAAGTTCATGATAAAAACTTGCAAAAAATTAATGATAGAAAGAATGTAACTCAACCTCATAAAGGCTACATATGACAAACCCTCATCTAACATCAAGCACTATTAGAAAAAGTTGAAAACTTTTCTTCTAAGATTAGAAACAGAACACGGGTGCTTACTTTTGTTACTTCAATTCAACGTAATAGTGGAATTCCTAGACAGAGCAATTAGGCAAGAGAAAAAATAAAAGGCATCTAAATTGGAAAAGACTAAAAATTCTCCCTTTTTGCACATTAAATGATCATATATATAGAAAACTCTGAAGACTTCATCAAAAATACTATTAGAATTAATAAATTCAGTAAAAATGTAGCATGCAAAATCAACATAAAAAATTAGGGTCGGGCGTGGTGGCTCACGTCTGTAATCCCAGCGCTTTGGGAGGCCAAGGCGGGTGGATCACGAGGTCAGAAGATCGAGACCATCCTGGCTAATGTGGTAAAACCCCGTCTCTACCAAAAATACAAGAAATTAGCCAGGCATGGTGGCGGACTCTGTAGTCCCAGCTACTCAGGAGGCTGAGGCAGGAGAATGGCATGAACCCAGGAGGTGGAGCTTGCAGTGAGCCGAGATGAGATTTCGCCACTCCACTCCAGCCTGGGCGACAGAGGGAGACTGTCTCAAAAAAAAAAAAAAAAAAAAAAAAAAAAGGCGTATTGTTATACACGAAAAACAAACTATTTTTGAAAAGTATCATGAAAGGAAACCAAGAAAACAATCTCATTTACAATCGTTACCAAAATAAAATAAAATATCTAGGAATAAATTCAACTAAAGAGATGAGAGATCTCTACACTGAAAAGGTTACAACATGGATGAAAGAAATTGAGGAAGACACAAATAAATGGAAAGGTATCCTATGTTATGGATTGGAACTCTTAATATTATAAAAATGTTCAATCTACTCAAAATGAGCTAAAAATTCAACGTAATCTCTATCAAAATTGTAATGACAGTAAAAGTTAACTAGAAATTAAATGAAAATCATAAAATTAGTATGAAACTACAAAAGACTCCAAATAGCCAAAATTATCTTAAGTAAAAAGAAGAAAGCTAGAGACATTGCACTTCCTGACTTCAAAGTATGCAATAAAGATATGGTAATTAAAACAGCATGGCATTGGTATAAAAACAGACACATAGCCCAATTCACACATTTCCAGCCAACTGATTTTCTACAAAGGTGCCAGGAACAAACAATAGAGAAATATCCTAAGTCTCTTCAAGAAATGGCACTGGAAAACTGGGTATCCAATTGCAGAAGAATGAAATTAGAACCATATCTCATTTGATCCACACAAATTAATGGTCTGGGCAATTACTTTTTTTGATATGACCTCAAAAGGATAGGCAATGAAAGCAAAAATAGACTATAGAATTGCATCAAACTAAAAAGTTTCTGCACAGCAAATAAAACAATCAATAGAGTGAAGAGACAACAGAATGGAAAAAAATTGCAAATTATACATCTGATAAGGGGATAATAGCAAAATATATGAGAAATTCCAGCAATTCATACCAAGAAACCAACCAAATTTTAAAAATGGGCAAAAGATCTGAATAGACATCATTCAAAAGAAGACATAAAAATAGCTGACAGTCGTTTAACAAAATGCTCAACAACAAATTATCAAGAAAGTGCAAGCTAAAACCCTGATGAATTATTCACCTTACTCCTGTTAGAATGGCTGTTGTCAAATGAAAGGAATATTAAAAGAGTTGGCAGGGATGTGGACAGAAGGGAAGCCTTGCACATTGTTGTAGGAATGTAGATTAATAAAGCCATTATGGAAAACAGCATGAAGATTCTTCAAAAATCTGTAAATCTACCATATGATCAGCAATCCCACTTTTAGATGTATTTCCAAAAGAATGGAAGTGAGTAGTATGATCCAAGAGATATATGCACTCTGATGTGCAGATATCTAAAACTACAGTCAAGAAATATATTAGCAACATATATAAAACAAAACAGGCACATATTCTAAATATATTAAAAATTCTCCACAGAATACTATGCAGCCATAAAAAATGATGAGTTCATGTCCTTTGTAGGGACATGGATGAAATTGGAAATCATCTTTCTCAGTAAACTATCGCAAGAACAAAAAACCAAACACCGCATGTTCTCACTCATAGGTGGGAATTGAACAATGAGAACCCATGGACACAGGAAGGGGAATATCACACTCTGGGGACTGCTGTGGGGTGGGGGGAGGGGGGAGGGATAGCGTTAGGAGATATACCTAATGCTAAATGACGAGTTAATGGGTGCAGCACACCAGCATGGCACATGTATACATATGTAACTAACCTGCACATTATGCTCATGTACCCTAAAACTTAAAGTAGAATAATAATAAAATAAAATAAAATAAAATAAAAAATTCTCAGACACTAATAAGAAAAAGAGGGCCTAGTAGAAAAATAATGGGAAACTTCTTGAGTAGGTAATTTACAGTATTATGGAATCCAAATGACCAGTAAGCTCATTAGAAGGTGCTCAATCTTATTATCTAGGGAGGCAGAAATTAACCACAATGTGATAATACTTCATTTCTATAAGAAAGGCAAGAATTTTCAAAACTGACACAGTCATATGCTGGGAAGTATGTGAAAAGACTTGATCTTTCATTTACCACTTGTAAGAGTGTGAAAATTGGGGCCCTCACTTTTGAAATTCTTTCATTGTCTACTGGCATTGAGCGTGCCACACCATATAAACCTGAATTTGCAGTCCTAAATTTATATTCTCAACATATATATAATCCAAACATTTATGTAAACTAAAAGATATATATAAGAATATTAAACAACAGTAATTTTAGTAGGCAAAAGTTAAAAGCCAATGAAATTGCCATCAGCATGAAAAACAAACAAGTAAATTGTGATGAAATTTGTTGTAATGAATAGTGATAATCAAAAATATAAACTTGTGATTCATGAATAAAATTCAAAGCATAGTGTTAAACAAAGAAAATCAGAGGTCAAATAATCTACTCTCTGTTATTGCCTCTATATGATTTCATATACATAAAAAAATATCTTTTGGTTTAGAAATCACGATAACAGTTTCCTTCGTAAATTACTGTTACATTGTGACCTAGAAGGCATGGGGGGAACATCTGCATTTCTGGTAATATCTTACTTCCTCTTACAAGTAATACATGGTGGTTCATCTTTCTTTCTTCTTACAGTTTCTGTTTTTTATGTGTGTTTTCCTTTAATAAAATGTTTAATGGAAAATCAATTGTATGTCTACATATAACAGTATAAATATTTAGAAAATATGATTTATGGACACTGATTTGAGAAATCTAGGCTAAACTTCAGGTTACATTTCTAATGCAAGTTATAAAAGCCTTGTTTGAAGAAAACAATAAATATTTTCAAGAGAAAAACAGTTGGAAATACTCAAATAAATGGAACACTAGACCATGCTAATTCACATAAAGACTTATATCAAATAAAATGTAATGACAGAATCAATATGATTCCTGTTAAATCTCAAGTCATTTTTGCTAAAAATTAAAACTTTATTTACATATATATTTGTAATAAAATATAGCTCATAAGAGAAGCCATAATATAAAAAATTACTACATTAAAATTCAGAAATTTTATTTATCAAAAGATACCATAAATCATATTGAAAATCACCATGAACTGACAGAATATAATTGTGACATTAAAATAACCCTTACAAATAGATGACTAAAATAATTCAACAACAAATTTAAAGGGGAAAATGTGTGAACAACACTATTACACTTAAATCTTGAAATTACCTTTTCTGTGTGTCAAAAGAGTTGACTATAAACAATGGTTTATGTCATCATCAACAGAAGTTGATGATCATGCTTTTGTTTTTATGGCTGGCTCAATGAAAAACATTTTGTGAACTCTTTATCATGTAGTGTTTTATTAACTCAAATTTTAGCTTTATCTAGAAATAGAGATGATTTTCTATTAAAAGTTTGACTGAGAAATCAATGTATTTCATACAGGCCACAAAGCAGTCATTAAATTGAAACCTATCTGTCTTTCATTTTATTCTGATGTCTTAAAGTGACATTATTTTATCAATTTCTTTTCTTTTCTTTTATCAATTTTAGTTAATATTTCCCCTTTGACTACTTTGCATTTCTGTCTTTGGAATTTTATCAGGATTAGTTTCCTATTCTTTCTATCTTTATTTCAACTAAGTTTTGGGATAGTTTTGGACTATTACTCTAAATAACACTTGGGAAAAAAAACACAGCACTATAATACAGCAAAACAAAATATATCTCGATAAAGATTTCTGTGTTCCCTCGATACTATTCATCTTTTCAAAACAACATTCTATTGAGAACTCATTCTCTTAAGGGAGTAATTCTAAATAATTTCTGCTACTCACAAGCCAAGTTCCAATATGTTTTTTTACAGCAACAAATAAGGTTACAAAAAGTCTAAACCAACTTGGATCAGCGAATAAACTACTGTGATGTGTAAAACACAGCAAAGCAGACTATTTCTCATCTAAAAGTTTTGCCTAATAATAAAACAAAAGCCAGCCTAGTGTTTGAGTATTTTTATCTAAAAATAGAAGTGATTGTACCACTTTTGGGGAATGCACATTTTTCACCTTTTGTAAGTCAGAAATAAAAATGAACAAGATTAACCTACTGTGTTTTATACTTTCTCATAAATTTAATCTTAATGAGGTTATTTTCTTCTTGCATATTGATGATATGTGGATACACATGAAGATGTATGATTAGAATACAAAGAGACTGTAGAGATCATAAGATATATGTCACACATATATTACACATGAATATGAACATTAATCAAGAAAAACTCAATTGTCCCAAGTGTCACAGGTATCTCTAGACCTACTTTGCTACCTCTCTATTCCTCTTCTCATTCATCCTTCAACTCTCTACATCTTATTCACTCTATCATAAAATTATTATTTATTGCATTTATTTGGAATTTATGATTGGACAGGACACAGTCTTGTGTTCTCTTGGGGAATATACAGCCTAGTGGAAATAAAAATATTAATATTAAATAATAATATGACAGTGATTAGTAAAAGTAATTAGGTAATACATTGTGATAATTAGGGAGGGGCAGACAGTTGGGAAACCTTAAACAACTGTGCAGAGAAGTATTTTCTCAGAGCTGAGACATGAATGATGATAGGAGAAAACTTACAGGCCAGGCGCAGTGGCTCACGCCTGTAATCCCAACATTTGGGAGGCCAAGGCAGGCAGATCACTTGAGGTCAGGAGTTCTAGACCAGCCTGGCCAACATGGTGACACCCCGTCACTACTAAAAATACAAGAATTATCTTTGCATGGTAGCACACTCCTGTAATCTCAGCTACTCGGGAGGCTGAGGCAGGAGAATCGCTTAAACCCGGGAGGCTGAGGTTGCATTGAGCCAAGGTTGTGGCACGCACTCCAGCCTGGGTGACAGAGCGAGACTCCATCTCAAAAAATAATAATAATAATAAATAATAATAATTATTAGAGGTGTAAATTTAGGTGGAAATACCTTAGTCAGGGAACAAATGGACTAGTGTAGCTATTTCAGAATGGTGAAAGAGGATATTAATAAAATGTGAACTTAGCATTTCAGTGAGAAATCTGGCCGTCTAAGTCTGACAGGATGAGTTGGCATCAATCTTTTTGCCTTATGAAAAAATAGAGCAATCATGTAGGCTTTGTTTAAAATTATAATTGTAGATATGATAGATTGGATCAAATTCAGGCCACATTCTGGAAGTGAAAAATAAAGAACTTTTTGCAACTTTAAACACATGAAGTTAGGAAGTAAAGGGCCACAAACTCACTTCCAAGATAGCTCTGCAGCTGCTGCAGCTTGCTATGGGAAAATAGGCACTAACGCAGAGCTCTGCTCACTAGCTCCTTTACCAGGGTTATACGCAGCTTTCTGAGCAGCTGGCACCCAAGCTGAGAATGCCCCCTATACTATACACCAGGTCATTCGAGTGCTGACAAAATCTACCGTCTTCATGCATCTTTTATGAAATATATCAAGTAGCGGGGCAATAGAAAGCCTTTAAGGATGAGCAATCCACAGTTTGTCCATGTGATAAAAAAAGCCTGAGTGACTCCATGTTCCCTGAAATCCATGTTGCACCGAAAACCCTTCTCTGTTAATGTCTCAATATTCCATAGGATACACAGGAAAGGAATGCAATGAAAATGTCTTCTGGCTTCAGGACTGACCAAGTGGGTTGGTTAACTGAGATGGGGAATCTAGAAGGATCATGATCTTTGTGAGGAGAATTCTATAATTATTTTACTCTTTCTAAACTATTTTAAGGCTCAAAACAACCCAATAAATGCTCTAGTTACTCCCCTCATTGTGAAAGACTTTTGAATATGGCCAAGAAACATGAAATGACAACTGATCCAAGAGAATAGAGTAAGTTAGCTCAGTAACTAAGTCTAGGGTGTAAACGTCCTAGTTCTCAGTTCAGGAGCCTTCCATTGACTGCACAATGCATTTAATTTACCATTTATCTGCCCAGAAAATATATGAGTTAATAAGTTCTTAGAAGCTGACTTCCTAGAAAACACCATGGGATGCCGTTCTTGTGTACACTTATGTTTAATTCAAATCTCATACTGCCCTTGGAATGTAAATGAATGTGTTCTTCTCAGGTTAAGTGGTAACTTTCTGGCAGAGAATAATTTAAAATGTAAGCAGTTTTATTAGTCATTATGCACAGTGTGACACACAGATACAATCATCTGAGTATTAACAGTTCATCTTTTCTCAAAGTGGAAAAAAATACCTCCACATTCTAGGGATCACAGAGCAAAATGAAACATAACTAGAGTTCGGAGTCAATTAATTTTACCTTGGCTCAGTACCAAATTAGCCATTAAAACCCACACATGCATTCAACACCTCTGATCCTCAGTTTCCTTTTCATGAATTATGACTATGGTAAAGGAGGGTTATTATAAAAATTAAAGAATATAGTATCTAAGAAAATGTCTAGAGATGATTATGTTCTCATTAAATGTTCTATTTGAATAATACTAAAATATAAGGTGACATGTACTTTAATTCAAAAGGGGGTTGTTTTTTGAAGGAACCTTGAAATGCCACCTTTTGTAATCTTTTCATGCATGACTCCTACAACTCCTCATATAGGTATCATTACATACATTTTTAGAAATGTGATTATTCACATTTGAATAACTGCAAGGAAGTATAAAAAGTGTAAGAGATGTTAGAGAATACTTTTAATGAATGTTCAGCACAGGTTTCCTTGGGGAAAAATTAATCATTAAAACTTCCCAAGTATTTTATTATCATCTCATGAAATTCCCTGAATAACCATATCCCTTGTTAATTCACTAATTTATTCTGGGGCTGATCCTACTGACTAATGTCTTTAGGTGTTTTCAACTGAGCAGTAATACAATCAAATATGGAGCTCCTTTTGACCTTTTAACATTTCTATTTTCTTATATTGATTATTAATATTGGAAAGACATATCTTATACAGAAAACATTTCAACTGAGTGGGCCACTAGTTAAAAGTTAATGTGGAAATAACAGTTTCTGCTGTTAAATCAATACTGAGTGTGTGGTTAGATGAAGGAGCTCTATTTTTGGAAAAATCTATATCAGTTACTCTATTTACCTAGGAATGTAATTATAACTATAGAGCTCTCATATCTATGCCCCCAAATTTTCAATAGAGTTGACATGAGTTGTGCCTAAGATTAACAAATTATTGTTTAAAACAAAGAGGAAAGTCTGATAGTTTTTTTCTAGTATGCACTTTACACTACCTAAATTAAAATATGAAAATGTATATAAAATATCGGCAAATACATGAGAATAATAAAAAATTTAGTACGTGTCATGGAACTTACATTATTCATTCATTTATTCATTTGTTAACTCATTTTACAACTATTTAACAGAAAATATTCTATTTGTAGATTTTTTTGACACTAAGTATATAATCACTTTTAAAAGGCAATGGAAAATTTTGAAAACTATTTATGACCATGTAATCATACTAGCATAGTGTCTACTATGTAGACCATAGTAGCATAAAATCTACTAAGATAGTACTATTAATTTTAAAAAATTCACAAATAAATATAAAATTTAAAATGCTTTATGAGGTTTCTAAAAGAATAGGCTTTGGTGTTATAAAAAATGCATTGTGAAGAAAATGTATACTTAGAGAGCTCAGTGAAGGATTACCTAATAAAGCTGAAATGAAAGACAGAATAGGAAGTAACACGACTAATGGAGGAGTGGGTATAAGAATTCTAGGTTGAGGCCTGGCGCAGTGGCTCACGCCTGTAATCCCAGTACATTGGGAGGCAGAGGCAGGAGGATCATCTGAGGTCAGGAGTTTGAGACCAGCCTGGCCAACATGGCAAAAACACATCTCTACTAAGAATATAAAAATTAGCCTTGTGTGGTGACACACGCCTGTAATTTCAGCTACTCAGGAGGCAGAGGCAGGAGAAGCTTGAACTTGGGAGGTGGAGGTTGCAGTGAGCCAAGCTTGTACCACTGCACTCCAGCCTGGGCTATAGGAGACTCCATCTTAAAAAAAAAGAAAAAAAAAAAAGGAATTACAGGTTGAGAGAAGACAGCATGTGTAAAGGCCCTGTGCTAAAAGGAACATGCAGTATACAAGACAACAAAGTAAATGTAATAGTTCTGGAATACCAAGATCAATATGAAAAAGAGTTTGAATGAGGCAGGTAGGTAAGTCAGAATGTCTAGTCTTTTTTTTTTTTATACTTTAAGTTCTAGGGTACATGTGCACTATGTGCAGGTTTGTTACATATGTATGCATGTGCCATGTTGGTGTGCTGCACCCATTAACTCGTCATTTACATTAGGTATATCTCCTAATGCTATCCCTCCCCCCTCCCCCCACCCCATGACAGGCCCTGGTGTGTGATGTTCCTGTCTTAATTTCTGTTTTAATACATTCTGCTTTTTGATAAAATAGTTAAGATGTATTAAATAGAAAGCAATATACACAGATCTGAATTTTGATAAGAGGACTCTACTTGATAGATACTTAGAGTCATCTTTGTATATACTGAGATAGGTTGAATTATCTCATCGAGTGGATGCAAAATTTCAAATAGAGTGACAGTAGCTGGAAATAGAGTGTAGATAGGAAAAATTGACAAATTCAAGGGATATTTAACTTAGAAAATAACCAGTAAATGTTGTTGGCTTGAATAAAAGTGGATAGAAACAGGAAAATGTTGAATTTGGCTTCTAGGTTCTTAAACTTAAATAATTGTGATCATGTCATGTAATAAGATGGGGAACACTACCAGGAGACAAATAGGGGAATGGAAGTACACGTTTTATTATGAACTTTTTATTTTTAAAGTGAATTGTGACTTCCAAGTGGAAATATCATACAGAGAGATAGACATATGAGTTTGAAGCTCAGATGACAGTGTTTGGCTAGAAGTATAAATTTAAGATATCTCATAAAGGTGAAAATTAAATCTACTGAGATAAATGGTGTTTCTTATGGGAAGAATATTGAGGTCCGAAGAGTTGTATTCTATAGACAAGATTTCAAGTAACCAAAAAAAGATAACAAAACAAGAAAGAAAAAAGATCAAGAAGAGGCCAATAATGTAAGATGTAAACCAAAAAGCCAAGAAGGATGGTTTCAAGGAGAGTGTGATCAGCTGTATGAACTGTTATAGAATTCAGTGTCTCATAAGTCACTGGTGATTTTAGCAAATGTTTTGTGGTAGAAAGATAGGTGGAGTCCTAATTAAAGTGGGGAGAAGATTGAGTGATAAAAATATAGGTGCAGTAAGATGAACGACTGTTTGAATAAGTTGGCTGCATAAGATGAATATAGGCACATGTGATTGTTGCATAAGATGTGGAATAATTTAATTTTTGCTTGTTTCTTCTATTAAAAATAAACAAATCTTTAACATGTAAACATATAAGAGAAGTAAAAATGTGCTAATAAGAAATAGAGGTAGAAAAAAGCAGCCAACGATGATGTTGCAAAAATAGGAGATGGTGATATTACATAAAAAATAAAATATCCTTAAAGAAAAATATCAAATAAATGCAGATAAACACACAGGGAGCTATTGTAGTTGAGTAATAATTGTAGAAGGGTTTGAATTTAAAAAAAAAAGATAAGGAAAAGACTTTTTTTCTTTGCTATAGAAGGCACTTCAACAAGTTTACAACCAAGGGAGTAGGGAAAAATGAATACAGAAAAATGATAATATTTGTGGATATAGAACCTCAATCACAGAGGTAGATGTTGGCCTTAAATTGTATGGGAAACATGGGTTTTCATAAGGTCTGTGAAGGATATGAGGACGATGTTTACAAAAGTAACTGTAATGGTGTTTTACTAATTATTTTTATTTTAATTTATCCATTTGGAGAATTCTGTTTCTTTTTTATACTGTCATTATTTGGCAAAATGCAAAAAGAAGAACCACATAGAAATAATTACTTCTTCACCTGTATCCAATGATAATCATTGCTACTGAATGCATTCATACACATATAGACATTTTTAATTGATGATACATGCAATTTTTTAGACAATGTAGATTTTATTTATAAGTAATTTTTTCTACAAATTGTAATATAAATTATTTTACTATTGGATTAGATATTTTTCAAAAGGATTACTTTCATGGCTGTTTCATATGCTATTGAATTTATATTACATAATCTATTGTTTCAATTTTCTTCAATTGGACTATGAACTGTTTTCGATGTTTACTATTCTGTATAATTGTAAAATAGACAACTTTAAAAATCAATATGCATTTTAAAAATGAGTAATATTTATAAAATATAAATGCACATTTTAAATTGTATATATATCAAGTTAATTCAAGTATTTCAAAATTGTGTTGATTTTCGAAGACTATATTTCAAATTTCAAATTTTTTTCCAGAAAGGTAATACCAAATGATCAACTAAGCTCAGTATGAGATTTTTCAATTCCATTTAAAAGCAAAAACATAAATTAACTTAGAGTTTTTCCAACTTCTTGTGTTAATTGTTTTGTTTCCAATTATCTTTAGACTTTTTAATTCAGTTTCATGTGCTATATGTATTGTTTTTGTAAGAGAAATATCACCTTGTACTTAGAACAGTTTTTCTGTTTTAGCTAAATTTTATGTAATTTGTAATGATTTGTGTGAACTGTTATCTTTATAGATTATAGTTAATGTTTGTTTACTGTTTATAAATATGTCTCCAAAAGATATTTTCTACTTTTTAATTTTGTTTTACAGAGATTATCAAAATTTATTTTAACATTTAATTTTTTATTTCTTTATAGGTTATTCTCTTATTTCCTGTTTAGATTGACAATCATAATTCTATGCAAATAATATATCATAATATGATTATATGGTTTACTGTGTTGCCTTTTTCAGATCTAACTTTTTAGTTCCAACGGAGTTTTTTTTAGTTGTCCCAATTTTTTTTGTAATTTCAGCTTTTATTTTAGATACAGGTGGCACATGTGTAGGATTGTTACATATTTTAACTAGGCCAGGCAGTTAGCATAGTAACCAATAGGTTACATTTTCAACTCACACTCCCCTTCTCCCCCCCTTAAGTATTGTGCAATGCTGATTGTTCCCTGGTTTATGACACTGTGTGCTCAATGTTTAGCTCTCACTTATAGTAAGAACATGTGATTTTTGGTTTTCTGTTCTTGCATTAATATGCTTAAGATTATGACCTCCAGCTTCATCCACGTTGCTGCAAAGGACATTATTTCATTTTTTGTGGCTGTCTAGTATTCCGTGGTGTATATGCATTACAGTTTCTTAATCCAGTCCAGCATTGGGAGGCACCTGAGAAGATTCCATGTCTTTGCTATTTTGAATAGTGCTGCAATGAACATATTCATGCATGTGTCTTTATAAAAGAATAATTTATATTCCTTTGGGTATATACCTAGTAATGAGATTACTGGGTCAAATGGTAGCTCTGCTTTAACAAAAATTGACAGGTGGAACCTAATTAAACTAAAGAGCTTCTGCACAGGAAAAGAAACCATCAACACAGTCAACAGACAACCTACAGAATGGTAGAAAATATTTGAAACTATGCATCCAACGAAGATCTAATATCCAGAGTCTATGAGGAGCTGAAACAATTTAACCAAATAAAATAACCCCATTTAAAAATGGGCAAAGGACATGAACAGACACTTATCAAAAGAAGATATACAAACAGCCAACAAATATAAGAAAAATGCTCATCATCACTAATCATCAGAGAAATGCAAAACAAAATTACAATGAGATATTGTCCACAATAGTCTGAATTGCTATTATTAAAAAGTCAAAAAACACCAGATACTAGCAATGCTACAGAGAAAAGGGAACACTTATACACTGTTGTTGGGAATGTAATTTAGCTCAGCCAATGTGGAGAACAGTTTGGAGATTTCTCAAAGAACTAATAGATTTTTAATAAAAATTCTGAATTTATGAGTTAACTTTAGAAATACATATTTTTAATAATTTATATATATTCATTTGTACACATACATCGTTCTCAGATAAGTATTGTATTTCCCGTGATTAATCATATTAAACACTTTATATTACTGGGCTCTCTGTTATGCCCATATATGAGTTGCTTCCATGTTGATTTGATTCTTTTGACTTCCAAAAATATAAAGCTCTTTGTATATCCTTGTTATTTTTATTTCTTAAATTTCAATCTTTAAAAAAATTTGGTTTCAGATGTGACAGATGAAATTTGTTACTTTTGGTTCAGCTTTGAAAACATTTTTAATATATTATTTTAATCAATACATTTGTTAGATATTGATATCTAAGATATGTAATTTTTCATTAAATAATATATACTTCTGAATTTACTCTTAACATTTTATATAATTATGTATTTTAATGTATTTCTTAAATAGCAATATCTATATCAACAAATTTGATATAAATGTTATGCATTTATACATGCAATTAGTTCCTACACTTAGATTGCTGTCAAGATATTTTTTACACTAAATGTGCTATTTTGAACATCTTTTTTACATTATGCTTGCTATCACTGCTTTATGTGACACAGTGATTGCTAAAGGTACTCTCCCCAAGACCCCTTCACCAGACATGTACGCCAACCTGCTAGCCTCTGGGAGTGATGGCTACCAAAACTCACAGTTGATTACTTCTCTTGAATGAATGACTGAATAGGAGCACCTTACCCAAAATGGTAGCTTGTGGTCACTGACTAACTGATGAAATGACAGGCTCAATTACCTCAATTGGAGCCATCTCTGTGGTTGAACTTGTGCTTCAGATATTATAGAGGGAGGGGGCTAAATTTAGTCTCCAGCCAAAGGCCCATTCATGGTTAGCTTTGTTACCCTACTCTCTCCTGCTTCCTGTACTTCCAGTGTCTGGAAAGCATTCTCTCAATCACTTTAGCAAGAATGTCCCTCTCAGACTCTGGGGTGTTTCTAAGGAAATTAACCTAAAATAGCTGGTACCAGGACTTAGTGCCTGGCATGCTGTAGCAGTATTATTGTTAACACCTTTACCCACAAGGAGGCAAACATATACAAGGGAAATGCTGAAGGCTGGGTTCCTACTCAGTTGAGTGTAAAGGGATTCACATGTTGAAAGTTTATTAGGGGATGTGTGGGATCAACAACTTTGGAACAGAGGAGAGGAGAAGAAAGCAAGCTGAATTTGGCAGAAGGAAGAATTAGTCAGCAATAACTAATACCACCTGTTGTAATCACTCCAAGGCATCTACTGCCCCTTTGAGGATCTCTGAAAATGGGATAACCCATCAAAGTACTCCAAAGTTGGAGCCAAGAAATGCCGGGCTATTGTATTAGTCTTCTCAAGCTGTCATAATAAAACTACACAGACTGGTTGGCTTAAACAAAAATTAATTTTCTTACAGTTGTGGAGTCTTAAAAACCAAGATCGAGGTACCAGCAAAGTTCCTTTCTCCTGAGGCCTCTCCTCTTGGCTTGTAGATGGGCATCTTCTCACTGTGTCTTCACATGGTCTTTATTCTGTTTGCATACATCACTGGTATCTTATTCTATTCTTACAAATACACCAGTCCTGTTGGATTAGGGCCCCACCTTTATGATCTCATGTCACTGTTATTACCGTCTTAAAAGCCCTGTCTCCAGATACAGTCACACTAGGAGTTAGGTCTTCAGCAAATAGGCTTTGGGGGGAGATAGGGCACTACTAAGTCCATACCAGCTGTTATATCTTAGCATTAATCAGTCAATGCATTTGGTTTGTCCTGGGAAGTGATAAAGCCTTTAGTCTGAATGACACTCTTTAGCTCAATTGGTTATTCCTCGAATTCATGAATATATAAATGGAGTGAAGAATGTTAGCAATTGGCAAAGTCCTCATATTGATATATTTGCCCTTTAGAATATGATGTATTGTGGTAGGAAAATCCAAATAAAATAATTTAAGGCTACGTTGTCACCATTGGGGTAGAAAATCAAAACCAAAATTATGTCTCAGAGACAATGGCATATTAATGCCACCTTCAAAGACTTGTAAAGACACAAGAGTAGGAACATTCCTTGAGAATAATATTAGCAACTTGGTTACAAGCTGATTACATCAGACAATGATTCCTCCTTACTTGAGTTGATGCACAGTGCAGATATTGGTTTGCCTTCTTTGCCTAGAGGACTTCATTAAGCACTTCTGCTTGAGGGAATCACAGATTTATCTGATCTACTGTTATTAAACCCCACAACTATAACTTCTGACCAATTGACCTGCCTTTCACAATAGACAGCATCCACCATCTACTAGGCAGGTGAACATTAGTACGCAAGTTCCACTGTGTGTGTTCCAACACAGAGAAATTACATACATGATTCTTGGAACCAATAAATCAGAAGTAAGCATGGCTCTATTCTGCATTACTGTCAATGACACATTTAGAAATTTTTTGTTTCTCAATTCCAACAAATATAGACTGTTTTATCCAAAAAGCTCAGGTCTCAGATGAACCCATTTCTCCAGGGGATAGTGCAAGAGTACCAGTAAATTTAAATGTATGGCTGCAGCGTTGTCTGGACGATTTCTCACATCCTTGTAACAGAAAGCGCAGAAACAAATTTCCATATTAGCAAGACTAATGGAACCTGATCATCATAAGGATGTGTGGTAATTATTTAATAGGTACAAGTATAAATATATTTGGCATTTGAGTCATTCACATGTGTATCTCTTGATGCACATGCACAACTTTAAAGGGGAAATAGACATAGAAACCATTAGAATAAGATGCTGTGTTATCACTCCAGGCAAACCTCTTCAGTTAAAGAAATATTGGCTTGGTGGAAGGGTAGGGAGTCATGAATGAGTGACAGAGAAAGGGCATGATGAATATCATTTTGAACTCAAGTTCAACTGCTGTTGAGAAGATTACTTAATCTCATCAATTCACATCTCATAAGTTTATTTTTTTTCTGCAAGTTGTGACTGAAAATAACTCTGCTGAATCTCTGTCTGAATATAGTAAACAAGATAAATAGTAAATAAATCTGAGCAAGGTCAAGGGTTGATATAGTGAATGCTGTAGTGACCATGCCCAGATCTCCTGTTGAGGCTGGTTCATCTATCCTCCAACTGTTGTAAAAAGTGTATGGTGATGATTTATAATTGCATAATGGCTTACTCCTCCAGTAAGAACCATCCTATATAGAAGGTATCTTGCCTGAGAGATTAGTCACCAACAACCAGCCAGTGGTGAATAAATGAATTAATAAATTACTTTCATGAGAGTACAAAGGGCCCATACTACAAATGAGTAAATATGTAAGTATGTAAAATTCATAAAAAATTTCTGGGATATATAAGTAATTATTCCCTGGTACATAAATAATAACACTATCTTTGAATGTGGAAAGGTGAAATATGTTATGGCAATCATCAAACACATCAACCACAGTTTTTCTCACTTTAAGTGACACAGTTCATGGGCTTCCCAGATGAGTTCTCATGACTATTTCTATCCCAATGCACACACTTTTTTAATAGGCTGAACATAACTTTTATGATGAAATCAACTTCATCTTAGAAATCAGTGAATTATTTAAAACATAACCTATTAGAAAGATCTGAAGAACATCACTATAAATCACACAATTGATTGCAAGTTTATTTTTTGTAACTTAGTACTACTGCATATATTAAAATCAGATTGGCTAAAGTCAAAATACATTATAAAATGGAAATATATTTATGTATTAACAAGTATTTTACACACTCGGAAAAATACTATTAGTATTAGAATTGAAGAAATAATGAGCTGGGTTCCCTAGAGTTCTGGAAAGAAAATGAGATTTAAGGGTCAAATAGTCTTTACTTACCTCCTGAGAAAGTTTTGTATCTTTCAATGTTATACAGTGTAAATATCAAACTCAAATTTAGAAAAAATAACAATATTTAGGCTACTATTAAAAATAGTAAATTACAAGAATGAATTGAGACACTTATTTGAAAAACAAAATATATTGAGTTGTTTTCTTCTGTAAATATTATTGTGAGATTATAAAATGTATAAATATTATTCTTATATAAAATGGTCAAATTACTACGTTTAACCCTAAAAATATAAAATTAAATTTGTAAATATGAATAAAATTTCTAACATATAGCAAAAGAATACTGAATTTTTTAACCTTTTACAATATAACTAGACAAACAAAAATTAGCATAAAATGCATTAAGGAATTATATATTTTGAGATTCTTCACATCATCTCTCTGATAGTTGCAATCTATATCTGCATTTGAAATACCAATTAAGTAAACTAATTAATACATTCACATAGTCAAATTACCATTGAATTTGTGATCTTGAGAGTCTAAATATATATTGACTACAATAAAATGCAAATTAATTTTAAATCTGTGAAAAGCGATACTTAAAATAGTACACTAAACTGTGAGTTTAAAAGGAATAAGGATTATGAATTATTTCAAGAATGCAATGGAGAGCAAATTCACTTATTCTGCTGAACAACAGAATCATTAAAATGTTCATTCATCCTGCATTCAAAGCATGTTTGCTGAATTGTCACAGCTGACAGCATGCCAATAGTATAATCATACTGTTGTTAGCATTTGAAAAACTGACAGGTGACTTTCTTAATAGCCACTGCCCAACCCTTCTACAAGTGCCCTTCTCCAACACCCAGAGTTTACCCCAGGCCCTCAAACTTCCTACAACTAAAGGCTTACTTCTCGGTAAAATAGGTGGTCTTGAAGACACTATCTCAACTCTGTGGCATCTATCTACTGTGAATAGTAAATAGCAGTGGCCATACTGGCTTGAAATATTTTGGATACTATTGTGAATTTGTATTTGAGTCAACTCAAATTATTCTAGACCACAGTGATTTTATTCAAGATACTAAAGGTGGAGGTGAAACAGCAGACCCAGACTTTTATACTAATAAAGTCAGGGGAGGGCACTGGAGTCATTGCTTACCAGCTAATTATCCCTTAACTGCTATCTGCTGCTGGATTGAGGCAGCAACCAGGACCAAAGCTTTAGCTCGTGGTGGATTTCTTCCTTAAGATTTTTCAAATCCTGGTCCAAGTATGTGTTTTGCTTTATGGTGAAAGGCATTAGCCTGTCATTTAGAACAAACACCTTGATCACTGAAGTTGAAAGGAATCCAGACAATGAGAGACTGAGACAGGCTTTCCTTGTGGGTTACAGTACATCTTCACTGGTTCTGGTTTTTCTGTGCTTCGTCTACTTCATGTTCATCTTTTCTTCCTGATAGCCTATATTAGTTTGTTTTCACACTGTTATAAAGAAATACCCTTGTATTAGTCCATTTTTATGCTGCTGATAAAGACATACCCAAGAGTAGACACTACACAAAAGAAAGAGGTTTAATGGACTTACCATTCTACATGGCTGTCAAGGCCTCACAATCATGGCAGTAGGCAAGGAGGAGCAAGCCATGTCTTATATGGATGGCAGCAGGGCAAGAGAGCTTGTGCAGGGAAACTCCCCTTTTTAAAACCATCAGATCACTTGAGACTTACTCACTACCATGAGAATAGTATGAGGGAAAACACCCCCATGATTCAATTGTCTCCCACTGGGTTTCTCCCACAACACATGGGAGCTCTGAGAAGAAGGCCACCATCCTCCAGACTCCAGAATGGTAGATCAACACACAGCTTTCACTGTGCACCTGGAAAAGCTACAGCCACTCATCACCAGCCCATAAAAGCAGCCAGGAGAGGGGCTATACCCTGCAAAGCACTAGACAGTGCACCAGGAGGGACTCTCTTTGGGGCCTCTGACCCCATGTATCCCTCCCACACTGCACTAGCAAAGATTCTCCAAGAGGGTCCTGCCCCTGCAGCAAACTGCCTGGGCATCCAGGTGTTTCTGTACATCCTCTGAAATCTAGGCGGAGGTTCCCAAATCTCAATTCTTGACTACTGTTCACCCGCAAGCTCTAAACCATGTGGAAGCAGCCGAGGCTTGGGGCTTCCACCCTCTGAAGCAACAGCCCAAGCTGTACCTTGTCCCCTTTTAGTCACAGCTGAAGCCACTCAATGCAGGGAACCAAGTCCCTAGGCTGCACACAGCACAGGGACCCAGGGCCCAACCTATAAAACCATGTTTTCCTCCTAAAACTATGGGCCTGTGATGGGAGGGGCTGCTGTGAAGACCTCTGACATGGCCTGGAGACATTTTCCCCATTGTCTTGGTGATTAACATTTGGCTCCTTGTTACTTATGCAAATTTCTGCAGTTAGCTTAAATTTCCCCTCAGAAAATGAGATTTTATTTTCTATCACATTGCCAGGCTGCAAATTTTCAAAACTTTTATGCTCTGTTTATGCTCTGTTTCCCTTTTAAAACTGAATGCCTTTAACAGCAACCAAGTCACCTCTTGAATATTTTGCTGCTTAGAAATTTCTTCTGCCAGATACCCTAAATCATCTCTCTCAAGTTCAAAGTTCTGCAAATCTCCAGGGCAGGGGCAAAATACCACCAATCCCTTTGAAAAAACAACAAGAGTCACCAGTTCCCAACAAGTTCCCAACAAGTTCCACATCTCCATCTGAGACCACCTCAGCCTGGATTTCATTGTCCATATCATTATCAGCATTTTTGTTAAAGTCATTCAACAAGTCTCTAGGGAATTCCAAACTTTCCCTCATTTTTCTATTGTCTTCTGAGCCCTCCAAAGTGTTCCAACCTCTGCCTGTTATCCAGTTCCAAAGTTACTTCCACATTTTCAGGTATCTTTTCAGGAGTGCCCCACTCTACTGGTACCAATTTACTGTATTAGTTCATTTTCATGCTGCTGATAAAACATACCCGAGACTTGCCTATTTACAAAAAAAAAGAGGTTTAATGGACTCCCCCTCCACAAGGCTGGGGAGGCCTCACAATCTTGGCAGAAAGCAAGGAGAAGCAAGTCATGCCTTACACAGATGGCAGCAGGGAAAGAGAGCTTGTGCAGGAAAACTCTCTTTTAAAAAAAAATCAGATTTCGTGAGACTCATTCACTACCACGAGAACAGTACGGGGGAACCACCCCCATGATTCAATTATCTCCCACCAGGTCCCTCCCACGACATGTTGGAATTATGGGAACTACAAGATAAGATTTGGGTGAGGAGACAGAGCAAAATCATATCAACCCTAGACTGGGTAATTTATAAAGGAAAGAGGTTTAATTGGCTCTCCGTTTAGCATGGCTGGGGAGTCTTCAGGAAACTTACAATCATGGCAGAAGGGGAAGCAGGTACCTTCTTCACAAGACAGCAGGAAAGATAAGCAAGAAAGAGCAGGGAAAACTGCCTTGTAAAATCATCACATTTTGTGAGAACTCACTCACCATCACAAGAACAGCATGGAGGAAACCTCCGCCATAATCCAACTGCTTCCTTCCAGGTCTCTCCCTAAACACCTGGGAATTACAATTCTAGATGAGATTTGGGTGGGGACACAAAGCCTAACCATATTAATGCCCTTCTAACCTTAGGATATAGATCCAGATATAGAAGCAACAGTCCTACCTAAACTTTGTAGTCATCCCTCATGATGTCTGTAGTAAATCCTTTCATATGTACTCTATAGTGAGTTTTGCTTTTCTAATTAATGCACTGATATGGAATTTAGAACCAGAAGTGTGTCTAGAGGAACAGAACCTTAAGAATGGCTTATTGGATTTGGATATGATTTATCTGAAATGACTTATCTTGTATGATTCAATTTTAAGACATTATGACAGTATTTCTGAGGGTAAAGGGAGTGCTAGTAGTTCACAGAATGGCAAAACTTAGAAAGTGTCAAAACAATGACTTAAAATACTACTTTTTGACATTGGTAATTACTTGTGCATAAAAGGCAAGTTATCAGGTGATAAGTTGATAGGTTATATAAAAGGATATGGTGCTGGGTATAATGGCTGTCGCCTGTAGTCTGGCACTTTGGGAGGCTGAGGCAGAAGGATCCTTTGAGCCCAGGAATTTGAGTTTACAGTGAGCTGTGATCATGCCACTGCAATCCAGCTTGGGTAAAAAAGTGAGACCTTTTTCCTAAATTTGAAAAAAAAATGATGGCAATAAAAGATACAATGGGGTTAGATGATTGCTTCAAAATACAATAAAAGACTTGGGGTATAAAATAATGAGTTCATGGCTTTAACTACAAAGCCCCAGATTTTGCTCCTGTGAATACATAAAGAGAAACCCTCAGCTCTTGCATGTTAGGGGTTCCTGAAAACAAAATCCAGAATCTAATCCTGTTTGGGTCTGAGCTATAGCACAAAAGGAATTTCAAAATGCTTAAGGTCTCTTACGTTAAAATAGAGCATTAATTTTATAAGAGTAAAGCCTTGAAAAATGGGATGGGTATGTAGGTAAATTCAAATGAAACCAAAGAACTTAAGCTTATAAACTATTCTGATTTTATTTCACCAGTTAAAGCATCTCTTTGATGATTACCCTCTATGATCTTAATCTTCCTTTGTCTGCAAAAAAAAATATAATAACTTTCCGTAAAATAATTGCTTTGTAAAACACTGATGATCCTTTGCAGGATTTATCCCCTCATTAGTTTCCTATGGCTTCAGTAACAAATTACAACAAACTCAGTGACTTAAAACAATACAAATTTATCATCTTATAGTCTTAGAAGTCAGAGTTCAAAATGGGTCCTATTTGGCTAAAATCTATGTATCTCAGCAGGTCTCCATGTCTTCTGGGAGCTCTAGGAGAGAATTTATTTCCTTACATTTTCCACCTCCTAGAGGCTGCTCACATTCCTTGTCTCATGACCCTATCCTCCTTTTTTATTTTTATTTATTTATTTATTTTTTTGAAATGAAGTCTTGCTTTGTCATCCAGGCTGGAGTGCAGTGGCGCGATCTCAGCTCACTGCAAACTCCACCTCCTGGGTTCATGCAATTCTCCTGCCTCAGCCTCCTGAGTAGCTGGGATGACAGGCATGTGCCACCATGCCCAGCTAAGTTTTGTATTTTTAGTAGAGACGGGATTTCACCATGTTGTCCAGGCTGGTCTCAAACTCCTGACCTTAAGTAATCCACCCACCTTGGCCTCCTAAATTGTTGGGTTTATAGGCGTGAGCCACTGGGCCCGGCCCTATCCTCTGTGTTTAGAGCCAGAATTACGAGGTTTTCCAACCTCTTGCTGATTGTTTCCATCACCACATCTCCTTCTCTCACACTGGCCTTTCTACCGTCTTCTTATTAAGACCTTTGTGATTATAATAGGCCAACCCAGAAAATCGAAGACAACCTTCCTTCTGAAGATTCTTAATTTAGTCACATTTGCAAAGTCACTTTTGCCAGGCAAAGTGACATACTCACAGGTTCCAGGCATTAGAGCCTGGACATCTTTGGGTGGCTCTTATTTGTCCTAGTATGCTCCTGCATCTCTTGTTGCTTCCTTAGGTTTCACCAGACTCAAGTCACAGAGATCTTTGAGAGCTAGGGACAAATTATGCCACACAAGCAGGTGTGGTGCACAAAAATATAATTGCATTATTTTGTTAATACTAACAAAAACCTATAGATTATTTGTGAAGATGGATCCCAATATTGGGGGCAAGGTATGAAAAGAACATAAGCTAGATCAGGTTGAGTTTCTTGTTTTGAGTTTACAAAACAAAGATTCACAATTAGCTACAACTGTGTGGCCCAATTCAGAAATGAGAACTGCAGTGGAATAATATTTCTTACTTCTTTTGAAGTGAATGTATGTGTATACTAGTTATTTTTTCTCTTCTTTCCTTTTCTCCATCACATGATTTTTAAAAGTAGATAATCATATATGTCAGTATTAAGACATATGATATCAAAAGAGGAATTTCATCCAGCTAGAAAAAAAAAAAAAATCTCACCCGACATTGAAACAATCGCTTTTCATCCTATATGGAGAGAGGGTTACTGTGTTCCCAGCTCTATGAGGAATAGATGTATTTTGTTAGTAACAGGCATGATTTTGGGAATATATTTCTTCAACATAAGTTGTTTGATAAAAGTTGTATATAACAATAACAAGTTAATAATATCGGATTGTGATATTGTCTGTATGGTGTTAACACCATACAAAAGAGTTCCATTTACCAGTTTCCATCTTTGAATTGTTTCAAATTTTTGTGGTCTATAAGAGATATTTTACATCGGATTTGAAAAGCAGAAGTGAGGCAGACAGTTCTTAGATAAAGCAGTAGGAATTATATGAATATTTTTAACAGTAGGGGACTAACGTAACCATTAAAAAAATTAAAAGGAGAGGAATAAAGAAAAAATAGCTAATTTTGGACGATAGCCTAAAGAAGGTAAGTAGTGCTGAACAGAGGAGTTAGAGACTAGAGGAAAATGATGAAATCTTCAGCAGATGTAGAGGAGAAAAATTCTAAAGCACAGTGAAAGAAGAACGGGTAGAATATTGTTACGTTTTATGTAGTAACTCTCTAAACTTGATTTCAGAGTTTGTTGGAGTCTTCTAATCTACAGAAATCAATGTACATTGACAGAGTCAATCTCAATAATCTAGAAATATATACATTATAATGTACTAAAATTCTTTTCTAACTACTGACAAATATTATTAGTCTTTGGAATTTGAAAATGAGAAATCAGAATTCCTGGAAATTCTGTAGAATCCCAAAGCCATAGTCATTATTAAAATACTTCTAGTATTTTTAAACTTTTTATTCATTATTATAGACATCTAAAAATTGCTTATAACATAAGGAGTATTAAATTTAATTGTACCTGCAATGGACTGTGGCCAATAGTTAATGCATTGGAAAATGCCAGCAAATATCATCAGGTAATAACTTCACCTTCAAATTTCCTTGTTGATTGACAAAGGCAGGCCAAAATTTCTTAAAACACCTGTTATTTTTCAAAATACCACTCATTTGTACAATGTATACTGTGTCTGTAAACATATTAAAATATATTTTGTTTGCAAAATGACTCCCTTTTCACAGAAGTTGGGGGCCACAAACACAAACTTGTAATTTGGCAAAAACTACAAGAGGGACTCACTGATTAGTTCATGAACATTTCTTTCATGTTTGGTCCTGCCCTGGTCTCAGAAATGCTTAACTTAACCTTTGGCTGTGCATCAATGTGTCCTGATCTTGCTATTGACTTGATATCAGTGGATGCCTTTGAATGAGTAACATTCTCCTGTTAAATGTTAAAAATTAAATTCTCACATAAAAATTATATTTTCTTGTGCTTCTAAACAATTTTCCTCAGAATTATGGATTCAGGGGAAACAAACAAACAAACATAAATCTCTTCAGAGTTTCAAGAACAGATTCTCATGTGAAAAAATATTTTAATGAATTTGTTAGGTTTTTTGCATCAGTTTCCCCAAATTAAAGAAGAATAGCTGTCTCCCTTCTATTTGTATCTAATACTAAAAAGCAGATGCCTAAATATGGCTTAATCTCCTTTCTTTTACCTGCATCTCCTGAAGTATGTGTGCATTCTACTTTTTCTCTCTCCTCCCCACTGTCTTGTAGTTTTTGATCTTCATCTCAACCAAACATTAGAGTTTCTCTTTTAAAACTTATCTCAACTTTTTCTATTGCATGATCTGTTTTTCCTGTGAATGAATGAAGTCTTGTAATCCTTTCAGTTCTATTTCTTTTCCATTTTAACAAAACATAATTGTACTTTGTCTTTTGAGAAGGTAAAGATCTAAATATGTGGATAATAAAATACTTATAAATATGTTGACCTTGTAAAACAATCATTTGATCTTGCTGTACAATACAGATTGTTTTTGTCAGAAAGATCAGCAGAAAAAAATGTGTAAGAACAGCTTTATATATTGTAAGTTAAAATACATCTCATATTGAGATGCAAAAATGATAAAAAAGTATATTTTTTTCTTAGGAAAACAAGGTTAAGATATCTCTGTACATTTTCAGAAGAGGTAAAATGCAGAAAAGGAACTAATCTGATGGTAGACATGAAGGTGTGTATCATAAATGTTATGTATGTTGTGGCTGAATTAATTACATGATATCCAAGTAAATATGAGTTACATTGTTAGATATGTGGGGCAAATTTAAAAGGAAGACTCCTTTTATTTAGAGAAATAAAAGGACTTTGCTGCAAGAAAGAAATATCTCAGTCAGAGAATGGAAAATGAAGAGATATGACTAAAGGAAACAAAAGAAAGATACAGTTAGATGAAAACACAGAAGTTGAAAATATATTAAAAAGTAAAGTGGCAAAGAATTAGCTGAGATGACTGATAAGCATTATAAAATATCAAGTGAAGTTAAGTAAATGACACCTGAAGTAAGAAATTGTATTTGACTTAAAGAACACAGCACAGGCAATGCCATAAGATGAGTTAAAATGGAAACCACATTACTGAATATTAAGAAATGGAACCATTGAGGCTTTGAAGTCATTCATGAGAGAGGAACTATGTCAACCCCAAATGCATACTAAATCTTTCTGATAGATTATGTTAGATCATATTATTAGTCAATAATTCTTGTGAAACAACTGGAAGAAAATAGACGTGTAAGTATATTTGGTAAATAATCATATTTATTTCTTTGCAATAAAATTCTTATTAAAGAAAATTATTGATATTATCAAAGAAGACTAATAAATGTCTAATTGAATTGGAAAATAGTACTAAATGCACTGGCCTAGAAATCAACTGAAATAAAGTTTGTTATTATAGTCAGTAACAAAAATCCAGCTCTATCAAGAACCAATAAATGCATGGTAAACTCATACCAATTCATTTAGGGAAAATCAATTACCAAAAAATGCATTTATAGTTCACCACCAATCTATTGTAGCCTTTGTCCTTTTTTATTATCCTCATTTTCACCACTCTTCCCTCCAAAAAAGTCCTGGCATGCTTTTATTTTATCTTATCCTAAAAATTGTTGCAATAAATAACTGCATTCCATCTAATAGCTGCAGAATACATATTCTTCTTAAATGCACATGGGACATTCTCTAGGATAGATCGTACATTAGGCAAAAGCACAATTCTTAATATATTCAGGAAGATTGAAATTATGTCAAGCATCTTTTCTGATGACAACATTTCTAACACTAGAAATCAATAATAGGAGAAATATCAGAAAATTTATAAATATGCAGAAATTATACAACATGTTCCTGAAAAAGAATGGGCCAATAAATAAATTAAAAGGGAAACTAAATAATTTTTAGAAAATTGAAAACTTGAACACCACATAAAATAACATACGAGATACAGCAAAAGCAGTACTAAGAGGGAAGTTTGTAGCAATAAATACCCAAGTCAAAAAAGAAAATGATGTTAAACAAGCAACCTAATGTTACTTCTCAAGGAACTGGAAAAACAAGAACAAAGTAAGACCAAAATTAATAACAGGAAGGGAACAATAAAGTTAAGAGCACAAATAAATGAAATGGAGACAATAAAATCAATAGAAAGATCAACAAAAATCATATATGTCTTCTTGAAAACATAAAAAAACACAAAACTTTAGTTGGATAAAAAGAAAAGCAAGAGAGAAGACTCAAATAAACAGAATCAGAGATGAAAAGGAAGACATGATAATTGATAAAGCAGAAATACAAAAGATCGTAAGATAGTATTTTGAATAATTATACACTCAAAAATGAAATAACCCATAATAAATGATAAAGCGTTAGATACACATAACCTACAAAAATTGAATTATGAATAAAAGGAAATCTGAGTAAAGATATTGAACTAATAATAAAATATCTCCCATCAAAGAAGAAGCTAAGACTGGATGTCTTTGCTGTTGAATTCTACCAAGTATTTAAAGAACTAATAAAAATTCGTATCAAACTCTTCCTAAATGTTAAAGAGAAAGGAATACTTCCAGATTCATTTTATTATTCTAGCATTACCATGATACCAAAACTTGGCAAGGACACAACTAAAAGGAGGAAATTACTGGAAAATATCCCTCCAATGTCCCTGATGAACATAGACGGAATAATTCTCAGCAAAATACTCGCAAACCAAATTCCACAGCCTATTAAAATTTACTTCGCCAGGATCAAGTGGGATTCATCCCAGAGATGCAAAAGTGGTTCAACATAATCAAATCAATATACATGATACATCACAGTAACAGAACCAAAAACAAATGCTATATGATCATTTCAATAGATACAGAAAAAGTATTTGAAAATTCAATATTCCTTCATGATAAAAACTCTCAACAAATTCAGTATTGAAGGAACGTACATCAATACAGTAAAGGCCATATATAACAAATCCACAGCCAACATCGTACCGAATGGGGAAATGTTGAAAGCTTTTTCTCAAAGATCTGGGAAAAAAACAAGGAAGCCCACTTTCATCACTTCCATTCAACATAGTACTGAAAGTTCTAGCCAGAGCAATCAGGCAAGAGAAAGAAAGAAAAGGCATCCAAATTGGAAACGAAGAAGTTAAAATGTCTCTGTGTGCATACAACGTGATCTTATTAATATATACAGAAAACTCTAAAGACCCCACCAAAAAACTATTAGAACTAACAAGCAAATTCAGTGAAGTTTCAGGATATAAATCAACATAATGGAAATCAATAGTGTTTCTATGCACTAACATGAACTCCCTGAAAAAATATCAAATAAACAATCTGATTTACAATAGCTACAAAGAAGCTTAAAAATAAATTTAAACACTGAGGTGAAATAGCTCTACAATGAAAACTCTATACTATTTATGAGAAAAATGAAAAAACACAAATAAGTGATAAGATATATTGTGTTTATTGATTGAAAGACAATGTTGTTAAAATATCCATATTACTCAAAGAAATCTACAGATTCAATGCAATCATTAACAAAATACCAATGGCATTCTTCTCAGAAATGAAAAAAAATCCTAAAATTTATATGGAACCACAAAAGACTAAACAGCCAAAGCAATCGTAAGCAAAATCGATAAAGCTGGAGATAGCACACTACCTGACTTCAAAATATGCTGTGAAGTTACAGTAACCAAAGCAGCATGGTACTGCATTAAAACATACACATAAGCCACTGGAACAGAATGGGAAGAGCATAAATAAGTCTAAGCCTTTACAGACAACTGATTTTTGACAAAGGTGCAAAGAACATACAATGGAGAAAGGATAGTTTTCAATAAATGCTGCTGGGAAAACTGGATATGCACATGTAGAAGAAAGAAATTAGACTCTTATCTCTCATCGTATTTAAAAATAAACCCCAAATGGATTAAAGACTGACTCACTTGTAAAACTGTGGAACTACTAGAAGAAAACAGGGGAAAAGCTCCGTGATGTTGGTCTGGGAATTAATTTTTTTGGATTTAATCTCAAAAACACAGCAGTCAATGAAAGCAAAGATAGACAAGTGAAATTCAATCAAACTAAAAGGCTTCTGCACAGCAAAGGTAACAATTAACAGAATGAGGAGACAGCTTACAGAATGGGAGAAAATATTTGCACACTATATAGTAATATTATCTACTATCTATTTTATCTATTAATATTGTTAATATTTGCACATATCTATTAAGGTGTACATTCCAAAATATATAAGGAATGCAAACATCTCAATAGCAAGAAAACAAATAACTTGATTAAAAGATGAACAAGACATTTGAATACACATTTCCCAAAATACAAAAAATGGCTAACAGATATATGAAAAATTGCTTAACCTCACTAATCATCAGAAAAATGCAAATCAAAGCCACAATGTCAAATCATTCTTATTAGAATGACTATTATCAAAAAGACAAAAGATAACAAATATTGATGAAGATGTGGAGAGAAGGGAACCCTTGCACACTGTTGGTAGGAATGTAAATTACTACACTCATAATGGAAAACAGTATGAAGACTTCTCAAAAAATCAAAAATGGAATTACCTTATGATCCAGCAATGCCACGGCTGGGCAAATATCCAGAAGTAAAGAAATCAGAACATCGAAGACATACACTATTATGTTTACTGCAGCTCTAGTTACAATAGCCAAGATACTGAATTAATTTAATTTATGTGTTCATCAATGGATGAATGAATAAAGAAAATATAATTCATACACACACACACTGGAATACTATTCAGCCATAAAAAATAAATTCTGTCATTTGTGACAACATGAATGAGCCTGGAGGATATTATATCAAATGAAATAAGCCAGAGACAGAAAGACTAATACCACATAATCTCACTCACGTGTGGAATCTTAAATAGTTGATCCTTTGAAGTAGGGAGTAGAATGGTGGCTTCCAATAGTCCCTGGGGTATCCAGTGGAGAGCAACAGTTAGGGTAATGTTGGTCAAAGGATAAATAATTAGATAGAAGGAATAAATGTTGTATGGGATGATGAATATAGATAATGACAATATATTATATTATTGAAAAACGCTAAGATAGTGCATGTTAAGTTTCTTACCGCAAAATTGATAACTATGTGAAGTAAAGTATAGGTAAATTAGCGAGATTTAACCATTCCACAATGTATATATATTTAAAACATAATGTGGCACACAATAAATGCATACAATTTTATGTGTCCATTTTAAAAAGAAATAAATTTGAAAATAAAGTATTTCAAAATTTTCTTGATTCTCAAAAATCTCAAAAGGCTGAAAACTAAAGTTGTATAGCTTTTTCCTCTAAGAAACAGCACTAAAACTACAATATATAATATAAAATAAGTTGACAAAAACAGTTCTTACTTGTAATTTCAAAATAATAATTTCTACATATTTGTTTTTATTGGCATGTATTCATAAAATAATGAGAGTCTGGATAAACAATAAATAAAGTAATAAGCTGGAGCAATTTTCCCTTGTGTGCAATATGAATCATTGAAGATCAAGGCCTCTCAGCATCTCCATGACTCACTACTGCAGGATGCTACACTTATTCAGAAAGCCCAGTCAAGCGTGCACCAAAGACTGTGCACTCAGCAGGAAGGGAGTCCTTTTAGCATTATGAACTCAGCGGGATCAACAGTTACAAGCTCCATAATAGACAGACTTGCTGCAGATGTCCCTTTCTTGTCTCTATATTGCAGTTTTCACTCTTCATTTTACATGGAAATATGTAGCATGTCTGTGTATGCTTAATCCATCCTGGCAATGAATATAACAGTGAAGAAGGCACTTTGCTCCATTAAGCAAATTAGATGCCAAATATTCTGTTAACCTACATCATCTATATGTAACTATTCTGTAGGAATTTACATTTATAAGTCCCTTAGTTAATTATATTATTAAATAAAATATATGTTGAGCATTGCAAATTAGCTTCTTGTTAAAGACCCCGTATTTGAAAAGTAATTGAAATATACATGATTTCAATTATATAGGTGTTCAAAATTTAGTTGGGGATATGCACAAGAAATTGATAAATAAAATGTGGCAATATAGTGTCGTATCTAGTACTTTAAAGATTTAGAATTAGAGCATGTATTTGAATTTATATCATGTATCCACATTTACTATTAAAATAGGTCCCTTTTTATGTTTTACCTCTTCTAAAAATTCACAGAATTATGTATTTCCTCTTGTTTCTCCGGGAAGAAAGTTAATTTCTACTATTAAATAAGACCTTACCTAGGCAGCATTTTAACATTCTAAGCCTCAGATTCTTTATCTCTAAATAGGATGGATTATATTTATATTGGAATATTTCTTTTTAAAGCCAGAGCAAAACAACTGTGACATTTAACACATGAAAATTGGCATTGGTCATTGCTTATGTCGCATATTCCTTATAATGGTTGTGTGTAAAAACACTAATCCAGTCATTATTTTACAGATGAGAAAAGTGAAATAAATACATAACTTAACACCATCTAATTATAATGTTCAGGTACTTGATTTAAATGCATTTATATTTTGTTTACGTATTTTGGACTTAATATTTTAACATTCTTCCCATTTTATAATTCCTTAATGAAACAATGTCTCATAGATTAATACAAAATATGAAGAACCAAGATACTTCCCTTCACTGCCCCAGGAAATGCAAGGGAGAGGATATGAAATAAGCTTGGCCATCAAATCAGTTCTTCTATAGAAAACCTCTAATCTTCAAGACAATGTGATAAAACAATGAGGCCATTGAAAAGAATTTATGGAGGACTATTATTAAAAAGTCAAAAAATAACAGATGCTGGCAAGGTTTTGGAGAAAAGGGAACACTTATTAACTGCTGGTGGGAATTTGAATTAGTTTAGCCATTGTGGGGAGCAGTGTGGCAATTTCTCAAAGAACTAAAAACAGAACTACCATTTGACCCAGAAATCCCATTATTGGGTATATACCCAAAATAATATAAATTGTTCTACTATAAAGACACATGCACATGTATGTTCATTGCAGCACTATTCACCATAGCAATCATGGAATCAACCTAAATGCCCATCAATGGTAGACTAGATAAAGAAAACATGGTACATATCCACCATGGAATACTGCTCAGCCATAAAAAAGAATGAGATCATGGATTCAGGAACCCTCTATTTGAGAGGAGGGGGAGTGGAGGGGGAGGATCAAAACACTACCTGTCAGGTACTATGCTTATTAGCTGGGTGATGGAATAATCTGTATACCAAATCCCTGTGGCACGCAATTTACCTATATAACAAACTTACACATGTACGGTTAACCTAAAATAAGAGTTTAAAGAAAAATAAAAAATAACAATATTCGTGGTGTCCAGAGGCTAGCAGTTCTGGTAAGAATAAAGTAGTTTCTCCTTATCCATGAAGGATACATTCCAAGATCACCAGTGGATGCTTGAAGCCATGGGGAGTACAAAACTATGTACATCATGATTTTTCCTATAAATACATACCTATAATAATGTTTAATTGATAAATTAGGAACATTAAGATATTTACAATAACTAATAATAAAATAGAACAATATAACAATAGCCTATAATAGTATTTGTGTTCATATAGTCTCTCTCTCAAAATATCTTGTACTGTGCTGATTTATTTTTGCACCACACTTGACCATGGGTAACTGCAAAACTGTGGATAAAGGTGGAGTACTGCATTCTTAATTTGAAAATGTATTTCATATAAATGCATAGAGTAATTTAAACAACTAGTATTATTAAAACTAAGCTAACAATTTTTCTTTCAAAAAAAGCATCAGCACAGAAACAACTGAAATTTTTGAAAACTAATTCAATTTGTGCTATTATATACAGTATTTACTGGATGTACACACGTGTGGATGCGCACATGTGCACACACAAACACACACATGGGAAATCTTCCACATTACAAAAAGGAATATCAAGAGCCCATTGGAGCACTTGATCTTTGATGACATCAACCTCTTCGGCTAATAATTTTCTCCAGAAAGGTCTTGACTTTCTGATTTCTTTTTTTGTTTCTCATATTCTATGGCCAGGGAGTCTCACTCTCTAACTCCATTTTTATTTTCTAATTCTGTTGCATTGAATGTCTGTTCAATAAGTGTGTTCTCCGGGTTCATATCATTGGTTCTCTTCTCTCAAGCTTCTATGGCTCTGAGATAGAATATATTTCTTCCACATCTGTGGTCTCATAGAATAGTAAAAATAACTCTCCTGCAATCCTTACTAAGAATAATGTCCATGTTTATTTTCACTTTTAGGCATATCATTTGCACTTACGATGCCAAGCCTCTATCTATTTGCTTCCAATTCTTCATTTTCAATATAATGCCACAGAAAGTCACTGTAATCATTAAAGAGTTTTTGACAAATCTAAGTGGAAACAGAACTTAAGCAGTTATATTAATCTAAGACTCAAAATAAAGCACAATTGAAAGAACATCTATTCATGTCCTGGAATCCATCGTACTTGATGTGGTTTGCCTCTGTGTCCCCACCCAAATCTCATGTTGAATTATAATTTTTAGTATTAGGGGAGGGAGATTTTGAATTATAATTCCTAGTGGGAGGTGAATGGATCATGGAGTCAAATTTTCTATGTTTTGTTCTCATGATAGATAGTGGGTTTGCACAAGAACTGATGGTTTAAAGGTGTGTGGTACATCCTCCTTCGTTCTCTCTCTCTCTCCTGCCACCATGTGAAGAAGGTCCTTGTTTTCCCCTTCGCCTTCCTCCATGGTTGTAAGTTTCTGCAGGCTGCCCAGTCATATTTCCCGCTAAACATGTGGACTTGTGAGTCAATTAAACCTCTTTCCTTCATAAATTACCCAGTCTCAGGTAGTTCTTCATAGCAGTGTGAGAACAGACTAATACAGAACTAGGGAAATTGCAATGGGGTATGAGGGAGAAAGAGAGGGGAACTCCTATAATTCTCTAAAACAGATTCATCCCATTTACCTTTAAAGTGTCTCTAAATTCCAAATTCCAAAAAGACACTACTTCTGCATATTGGATAGTGGCACAGGTTATAAAATATATTATTTTTTTCCTCCAGAATCAGACAGTATATCCTTCAACGTTATGCCTATCTTTACTGTTCAGGTTATCCTGGGATTAGAAAAAACTGAGTGAAGTTATTTAGAAGTAAGAACTTAAAGTAAAATCTTATTATGTATAATATGACTAATGCTGCACATTATTATAATTTTTTTCAAATTGACATTTTAAATCTGTGTCACTGAGTTTTCTAGTTTGAAAATTGCATTATTTGTCCCCCCTCTACATATACTATTCTTAGCAAAATGAAAATTAAACTATTTTTAAATCGTTTAATTCTCTCAGCAACAAGGAAAGAGTATCAACTCAGATAATTAAAGCTGTAAACATTATTGCAAATTTTGACCGAGATAATTTAACAAACTGCTGTTGTATTTTGTTTTCCAAGGAAGCCAGTCCCTTTAGCTACTCAAAAATCAGCAAAATTTTATTTGTATAAGCTATGTATTCAAAAATTTTCCATTTAACTCCTTTTAAATATATGCTTTCAAGAAACTTATATTTCTAACTGTTTCACAAATGACAATATAAAAACTCCTATACTGTATATTAATTCTGAAAGGTACAGGTGAAAAGAGACAGAGAATGTCTGTAGTAATGAACAGTTTATTCTTTCATAACTCAATTGTTTCAGTCTATCTCCTCTTACTTTCTCAAAATTTTTATATGCAAAAGAAATATTGATAGTATCTATTAAGTAGTAACTCAGAAGAAATAGTGGTTAATTGATGTAGGGCCACAAAAATTAATATCTAGTGGAATTTAATGTCTAGTTTTCTGGAAACTAAAAGAATATGTAAACTTTGCAGTTATATAAAAGATGTTATAGACACAATATTTTGCACAATAATAAGTCTTCCAGGCAACAGTTGTAAACTCCTTTTTAATTGGGTATATTTAGAAGTACATGAAGGAAACTTACTATTAAATACATAATAATTGTATAAGCTGTCCAGGAACTAAATTACATAAATAAGATATTCACTTGTTTTTTCTGGTTACACCATATTTTCATATTAATGTAATATAACATTTTATTATATACTATACTCTAGGGATTAACTAAAATGTGAGCCAAATAAATAGCACTACTGATGTCATCTTAAATCATTTGAAGCAATGTTTTGAAAAAGTTGGAAATTTGATTGATTTATCTATTTGTGGTGATATATCACCACTAATATATCACCACCATCTAATTGTGGTGAACTTAACAAAATTAGATTCTTCCCCCCCGCCAAGATATTTGAAAATACTTACCAGAAACAATAGTTTGCAGGATATACAAAATATATTATTGATACAGATAATTAATATTTTTCAAAAATTATCCAATTGTACGATATAAACAAATTCACACAAAGGCACTGTGATGATATGTTTCACCAAGATCAGGAATAAAATGCTGTTGAGACTTTATTGACTATAAGGAAAATCCAGCAGTAAGTGAGTCTAATTATGAGTAATGAGATGGGGCATATATGGTACTATAGGTTTTATTGTACCTATAGCATGTATTCAAAGCATGTCAATGCTTTGAAGTGAATTTTCACCATTTTTACTATTTTCAGCTTCAGAAACTAAATCTATTTTTGCAGGCATATTTATTTACTGTATCTTTTTTATAAGCAGAAATTAAAACTTGGTGCCAAGTGCGTGGGCTAACCTCCCACAGAGAGCAGATTAGGGTCGGCTGCCACCCTTTCTGATGTTCACATTTCAAATGGAAGGCTCCAAGACCTTCAAGAAAGTCAGTCTGGCACACAAAACTGGCAATAGGCTAATTTTTCTTTTCTAAAAATTGTGTACCTTGAAAATATATAAAGAAATGATTTACAAATACATTTTTTTAAAGAGATGAAAAAAGAAAAAAAGGAAGGTTTTTTATTTTTCATACTAGGAAAACTAAAATATGTTATTTTTTTTTAGATTTGTACTTAATCTTACAATGTCTCCCTTTTGTTATTATGTGATAGTAACACTACAACTTTTTCATGATCTCCATTGGAAGTTCAATGCCACAGTGTCTTTACACGAATTTGGTAGTTGTATCTTTCCCAGAGTAGTTTGCAGGTACCAAATATCTAGCAAGTCTCTAATAAAACACAAAATTAAGTAATAATGAGAATTACAACAGGATGATGTGTCTAAAAACCTAGTACAATACTTGCCTTGGGGGGATTAACTTTAAATATATCAGACCAATGATAAATTGTTAAAGCAGATTCTTATTTAGCAATGTGTAAAAATCTCTCCTTTACTGTACATGAATTGCACAAACTGATGTGATGTCTTTATTGTTTGTACATTCAAATAATTAACCACAGTGTTTGTAAATTATTTCATGGTACCCCATGAAATTTTATTCATTTCAAGCATAAGGAGTAGCTTAACTGTGGATCTCGATAATCTAAACTTTTCAACTTAGTGTTTTTCTTGTGAAGTCCAATGAGTTTTACTAGTCATATATGTAACATTACATTTACACAAAAATATAGATCCTTTGGCAATTATTCTATTTCCCCAAATATTTTTCCCCAGATGTGAAACACAGATATCTATGCCCATTACCTAACAACAAAGTTGCAATATAGGGACACATTGAAGTGTACAGATTGAACTTCCAATGTTTAATGTACATGGTTTTAATTGCTTTAAGTCTTTAGGACAAGCACAAACCATGGGTCATTTCTCACATTGGGTCAAATCAATAGCTACATGATTATAATAGTCAATTAAGTCTTCATGAAAAATAAGGACTTCCACCTTTGTTTATCTATTCATGCTTTTCTTGGAATAAATTTACAACCCAAAGTTAATTGAATGACATTGTAACTGTCTTTTGCAGCCTCTGTCTGTAAATGCCAGATATCTGTTGACCTATTAATTAGAAGTTTCTCTTTTCTTCATCATTCTACCTTTTCTGGTGCAGTCATAATCTCAGTACCTAGTGGTTCACTTAAGTCTGGGAACCATTACTGGGAGTACTGTAAGAAAAAGTACCCTAACAAATAATATGTTTGTTTTCAAATGAAATAAGATTCTTAAAGTATTTGAAGTACTCATTTCTGCGGATAGGAGAGCAAGGCAAAATATGAGAATAGTAGTAAGTTCTCTAGAATATCTCCTTTCAATTGAGTTCAGTACCAGTGTCATACTCTCAAAAACTTAAGTTTCATTGCCTTGTAGAAGCCACAGTCCAGTCGTCCTGAGGTACTGGCTTTACACAGGAAGCATGGATACAGCAGGACACTTACTTTACTTTTGTAGCTGTATGAAAAATCAGTGGTACTTGAAAGATACACCATGGAATATTATGCAGCCATAAAAAATGATGAGTTCATGTCCTTTGTAGGGACATGGATGAAATTGGAAATCATCATTCTCAGTAAACTTTCGCAAGGACAAAAAACCAAACACCGCATGTTCTCATTCATAGGTGGGAATTGAACAATGGGAACACATGGACACAGGAAGGGGAACATCACACTCTGGGGACTGTTGTGGGGTGAGGAGAGGGGGGAGGGATGGCATTAGGAGATATACCTAATGCTAAATGATGAGTTGATGGGTGCAGCACACCAGCATGGCACATGTATAGATATGTAACTAACCTGCACATTGTGCACATGTACCCTAAAACTTAAAGTATAATAATAATAAAAAAAAAGAAAGTCTTCCTTTCAGTATGTCGACAGCTTATCTTTCCTCTCAGGTACTTATGACTTTGTGTCTTCGATTTTCTAGAAAAGAGAGATGCTCTAATTAAATATTGAGCATGTCAATGCAAGGGGATGAGTGAATAATTCTCACTTATCCCCTTGCACTCTATCTATCATCTATCTATCTATCTGTCTATCTATCTATCTATCTATCTATCTATCTATCTATCTATCTACATATATATAAACACACAGAGAGAGAGCGCATGATTATGAGAGGAGTCAGTTAAATTAGGCATAGGACAGGGTCTCAAACACAAGTTGATAGTCCTGTCAAGCATACATTCAAAGAGAATAATACTAGTTGTGATGATTAATACTAAGTGTCAGCTTGATTGGATTGAAAGATGCAATATTGATCCTGGGTGTGTCTGTGAGGGTGTTGCCAAAGGAGATTAACTTTTGAGTCAGTGGGCTGGGAAGGCAAAGCCACCCTTAATCAGGTGGGCACCATCTAATCAGCCACCAGTGAATATAAAGCAGGCAGAAAAATGTGAAGAGATGAGATGGGCATATATATCTATGCCTATATCTATATCTATATCTATATATGTATCTATCTGCCACAAACATCTCAAGCATCATTTTATCTGCTGGGTCATATGTATATATGAGCCATTGAGGAAGGACTCCACTACATTACCAACAATTTATGCAGTGAATCTTTCTCCCATCCTTCCCCAAGGAGACCTCCGGACTTTTCCCAGGGTAACTGTGCACTCGAAAAAGGGAAATGATCAGACATTTTGGGGAATACTGGACACTGGCTCTGAGCTGACATTGATTCCAGGGGAAACAAGATGTCATTGTGGTACTGCAGTTACAGTAGGGGCTTATGGAGGTCAGGCAGTTAATGGAGTTTTAGCTCATGTCTGACTTACAGTGGGTCACTGGGTCCAGCAGGTCCCTGGACACATCCTGTGGTCATTTCCCCAGTGCCAGAATGCATAATGGGCATACACATACTTAGCAGCTGGCAGAGCCCCCACATTGGCTTTCTGACAGGTAAGGTGAGGGTTATTATGGTGGGAAAGGCCAAATGGAGGCCATTACAGCTGCCTCTACCTAGAAAAATAGTAAATCAAAAGCAACATTGCATCCCTGGAGGGATTGTGGAGATTTGTGCCGCCATCAAGGACTTGAGAGACACAAGGGTGGTGATTCCCACCACATCCCCATTCAGCTCTCCCATTTGGTCTGTGCAGAAGACATATGGATCTTGGAGAATGACAGTGGATTATTGTAAGCTTATCCAAGTAGTGACTCCAATTGCAGCTGCTGTACCAGATGTTGTTTCATTCCTTGAACAAATCAACATGTCTCCTGGTATCTGGTATGCAGCCATTGACTTGGCAAATGCCTTTTTCTCCATTCCTGTCCATAAGGCCCACCAGAAGCAATCTGCCTTCAGCTGGAAAGGCCAGCAATATGACTTTACTGTCCTACCTCAGGAGTATATCGACTCTCTGACTTTGTGTCATAATTTTATTCAGAGAGAACTTGATCATTTTTCGCTTCTGGAAGGTATCACACTGTTCCATTACATTGATGATATTATGCTGATTGGATCCAGTGAGCAAGAAGTAGCAAACACACTGGCCATATTGGTGAGACATTTGTGTGCCAGAGGATGGGAAATAAATACGACTAAAATTCAGGGATTTCTACCTCAATAAATTTTCTAGGGGTCCAGTGGTGTGGGGCCCAGTTTGCCAACAGCAGAGACCGACACTGAGCCCTCAATATGGCACTATTCCTGGGGGTTGTCCGCCAGGTACTTGGTGGCAGGTTGATTATATCGGACCTCTGTCATCATGGAAATGGCAGAGGTTTGTCCTCACTGGAATAGAAACTTACTCCAGATATGGGTTTGCCTATTCTGCTCACAATGCTTCTGCAAAGACTGCCATCCACGGACTCATGGAATGCCTTATCCACCATCATGATATTCCACACAGCATTGCCTCTGACAAAGCAACTCACTTTATGGTTAAAAAAGTGCAGCAGTGGGCTCATGCTCATGGAATTCACTGGTCTTACCATGTTTCCCATCATCCTGAAGCAGCTGGATTGATAGAATGGTAGAATGGCCTTTTTAAGTCACAGTTACAATGCCTACTGGGTGACAATACTTTGCAGGGCTGGGGCAAAGTTCTCCAGAAGTCTATGTATGGGCTGAATTAGTGTCCTATATATTGTACTGTTTCTCCCACAGCCAGGATTCCCAGGTCCATGAATCAAGTGGTGGAAGTGGAAGTGGAAGTGGCACCACTCACCGTCATCCCTAGTGATCCACCAGCAAAATTTTTGCTTCCTGTTCCTGTGACATTACATTCTGCTGGCCTAGAGGTCTTAGTTCCAGAGGGAGGAAGGCTGCCACCAGCAGACACAACAATGATTCCATTAAACTGGAAGTTAAGATTGCCACCTGGACACTTTGGGCTCCTCTTACCTATAAGTCAACAGGCTAAGAAGGGAGTTACAGTATTGGCTGACGTGATTGACCTGGAGTATCAAGATGAAATCACTCTACTAGTTCACAATGGAAGTAAGGAAGAGTATGCATGAAATACAGGAGATCCATTAAGGCATCTCTTAGTATTACCATGACCTGTGTTTAAGGGCAATGGGAAACTCCAACAGCCCAATCTAGGCAGGACTACCATTGAAACAGACCCTTCAGGAATGAAGCTTTGGTTCACTCCACCAGGAGAAGAACCACAACCTGTTGAGGTGCTTGCTGAATGCAAGAGGGATACAGAATGGGTAGTGGAAGAAGGTAGTCATCAATACCAGCTACGACCACGTGACCAGCAGGAACAAGGACTAATTGTCCTGAGTATTTCCTCCTTTTTTTGTTAAAAATGTGTTTGTTCATGTATATACTTGTACTAAGAAAATATCTTCATTTTATTACCTTTTCCTTTATCGTGTGAAATAAAATTTATGGAGTTCATATCAGCATTTAAGTATTGTTAGCTTTATGTAATAGCATTTGGGTTGGGGACTGGTGCAGTTCTGGTTGTCAAAGGGTAGCTATATTATGTTAGATGTTATTATGATCTTATTATTGTCTTTATTTGAAGATAATGTATGACCTCAGGAGATGTGTATGGGTTCAAGTTGACAAGGGGTGGACTTGTGATGGTTAATACTGCGTGTCAACCTGATTGGATTGAAGGATGCAACATTGATCCTGGGGGTGTCTGTGAGGGTATTGCCAAAGGAGATTAACATTTGAGTCAGTGGGCTGGAGAAGGCAAACCCACCTGTAATTGAATGTACACCATCTAATGAGCTTCCAGTGAATATAAAGAAGGCAGAAAAACGTGAAGAGAAGAGACGGGCCTAGCCTCCCAGCCTACATCTTTCTCCCGTGCTGGATGCTTGCTGCCCTTGGACATCAGACTCCAAGTTGTTCAGTTTTGGGACTCTGACTGGTTCTCCTTGTCCTCAGCTTGCAGACAGCATATTGTGACACCTTGTAATCATGTAAGTAAATGCTTAATAAACTCCCATTTATGTATATATACTAATAGGATATATTTATCCCATTAGTTCTGTCCCTCAAATAGAACACTGACTAATACACTAATCTTGCTTGCGGGATTAATGTAATTTTTTAACAAGGCTAGTAGTAAATCTCTAGGCCATTTAACCCAATAGATTGTTGAAGCTTAGCCATTGAGTTTTTTTTTTGTTGAGTGTGATTCATCCACTCTATTTGTCCGAAGGACCATAGTTAAACAAATATAATAGCTAATAGAGGAGTCTATAGTTTCATAATTACTGGATTACAATAAAAATAAATTTTTTCCTGATGATTCTGTAAGTTCTAATGTCACAAATGTAGGAATTTTGTGTATTGAGAGAGGCTTTACGACTGTCTTGCAACTAGCTTTTGAAAAAGGAAACACTTCAGAGCACACTGAAAAATGTTGTGTGTGCTGAACTTTTAAGAAAATTTCTAAGATATCTAAGGTAGTGTTCTATCTTTGTAAAATAGTGTGACTGCTGTTTGCAATCTTTTAAGCATCCAAGCAATTCCAGTGCGACTACATCTACAACTAAAAAATAAACCACTGGTCTCTAGCCTACTCTCAGCTGTTAAGTTAAAATTTTACCAGAAGGACTTTTATTTTCTTGAAAAATCTAGTGTAATTTTGTTTCAAAATTTGGAATTCCCAAAGCTGAGGAAGAGACAACAGTCAACTTCAGTTGTTCAAAAGTTTTCAGAGCCAAGTAACTGGTCCAGAGAATGTGGAGAATTATCAAGTATCAACTGCTCCATTAGTGATTTTACCTACTCCACAAAAACTGAGACAGTTATTATGAAAAACAGTATGAAAGCTTCTCAAAGCATCAAAAATAGAACTACCATACTATCCAGCAATCCAAGTTTTTAATATATATCTGAAGGAAATGCCATCACTATCTCAAAGAGTTATATGTACTCCCATATTCATTGCAGCACATATATATATATATATATATATATATATATATATATATATAAAATTCATTGACATAATTCATTGCTTCACACATCTATATGAAAAAATATATATATATATATAAAATCACATACAATGGAATACTATTCAGCCCTAAAAAGGAAGGAAATCTTGTCATTTGCAGCAACATGGATTGGTCGGTCAGGAAAACATTATGCTATGTAAAATAAGCCAGACACGGAAAGACAAAAACCACATGATCTAAAAAGTGGAACTCATCGATGTAGAGAGTAGAGTGGTAATTACCAGGGTGTGCAGGGTCAGAGAATGGAGAGATATTGGTCATAAGACACAAAATTTCAGTTTTGCAGGATAAATGAATTCTGGAGATCTCACGAAATGTACAGCATGGTAACTATAGTTAATAATACTGTATTGTATATTTGAACTTTAGCAAGAGTAGATCTTAAAGTTTTCACACAACCCCCACCCAAATGTAACTATGTGAGATGATAAATATGTTAATTAGCTTGATTGTGATAGTCATCTCATAATGTACACATATGTTAAAACAACACATTTTATACATTAAATATATACAATTTTTGTCAGTTATACCCCAATAAAGCAGAAAAAAACAAATTTATCAATCTATAAAAAAGAAAATGTAATATAAAAAATAAACTCACAGTCTACAATACCTTACTCATCCCAAAAATTGTCTAAGCTTTTTTATGTGTTAGTTTGCCGTCTTTTTTCTGAATTGGCTAGCTCAGATTTTAATGCTTTGCTGCTTTCACCTGACAACAAATGCCCTAAATATTTTACTGCACTTTGGCAGTGTTGTAATTTGTCTAATGAGGCCTCTTTCCCCTGTGAAGCAATGAATTATGTCAATGAATCAGTTTTGCTTTGCTCTTTGGTTTCCTAGGCACCTGCAAATTATTTATGCATAGAATAATTATGAATCCCTCTCATGGGACAAATTTCTCTAAGTTTTCCTGTAAATGACTAAAAAAAAAAAAAATCTTGAAACCTTTAATGAATCCTTTGTCCTAAATACTAGATTCCTTTTTAAGTAAAATCCAACAAGATTTTAGAGTTATCTGCTAGAGAAATCAGTGGGGTGGCAAGGGTGGGGGTGAAGAGTCCAAAACATAGATTAACTACAGAGAAAAGCTTTGCAAATGATGGTAACAAATTTAGAATAGTTGCAGGGTAGAAAGTATAGCGTTTAGCCGACCGACACATTTATTTATTTCACTAAGGTCTTCTACAAATCCATATATGTAGTGGTTCAGTGGTGACTACTTGATGAAATAAACCTTCTTTAAAAAAAAAAAAAAACTGGAAATAAGGGAGTATTATAGGTAAGTGGCCTTTCTATTTATCCCTTATTTTCAATTTCTTTTATAACTGTTTCATTCTTTCTAATTGAGCTCTCGGCAAAGTATATTGTCTTACACATAACCATGGCTTATTGTTTTAGTAAGCTGTTTTCATCGGTTTTACGTATAATATTAAACAAGTATTATTTCCCAGGGCCCAACGTAGTTCATCAATTTGTTTTTATTGAGGGTATTTTTCCAACAGTGTGAGACTGACACTCTCTACCAAAGCCTTTTCCTTTCAGAAGAGACAAAATAACCAAATCAGATGCCTTTTTATCCAAGGAGTTTACTATAAACATCCCATCTGGAATAGTGAATGTGGTAGCCTTCAATTTTCCCAGCAGATATCGCTCCAGCTGATTTACAAGAGAATCAAGAGAAAGCAAGCAAGCAGGTCCCTCATTTAGAAGAAAGTATTTGTATGAAATCCACAGAGTAAAAGTAAAAAAGAAAAAATAAAAAGGAAAAAGTGGAAGGCTTACTTAAAATACCAAAAACAATATTGATTTCTCATTAGATTAAAAGCAAGAAATTTCTGAGGAATAAATAGCACCAGTGTCTACCAGAAAATGCCAGGGCAAGTTAGCAGAAAGGAACATTACTGAAACATTTCACCAATTTCTAGCTCTGAGATTTTCCAGACCCATAAATTTTAAGCTGTTTCTCTAGTTGAGAGTTTTGTCCTTTTAGGCTTTCCTAAATCCTTTATTTCTGCTCTGTCCATATTTCCCAGGGCCTCTTTCTACAATCCCTCATCCAGTGTTCTGGCTCCTTGCAATAATGACATGCAGTTTTTCTTTCTTCCTTTACTACTTCATAGTGTTAGCAGCAGCAAATCGGTATGGGTCTACAGAAACCTCAATTCATGCCTCCTCAGAAGAAAAAAATTGACCAAGAAGTATTAAGCAGAGAGAGAGATTGAGGCAAGATTTAGAGTAGGAGAGAAAGTTTATTAAAAAGTTTTAGAGCAGAAATGAAAGGAAGTAAAGTACACTTGGAAAAGGGCCAAGTGAGTGACTTCAGGGATTCACATGCACCGTTTAACCTTTGACTTGGGTCTTGATATGTTGGCATTTTCATCCTCAGCAGCCTGCCAGCACTTGGGAGGGGATGTAGGGGCAGTGTGTTTACGGAAGTTGTACACATGTCCACTTGAGGCATTTTTCCCTTATCAGTGGAGTGTACCTAGAGGAAGGTCATATACCAGTTAAACTGTCATTTTGACTCAGTACGCTTGCTTGAGCCCACTTGACCAACTCTTGAGATTTTATCCGGAAGCAGCTCATCACCAGCTTCAGGTGTTTTCTATCTTTTGGGAAAATGCCTTTCCCTGGCACCACCTGCAACCAATTACTATTTTACAGAGACAGTTTAACACCTGACCATCACCTGATGGTTGCCTGACATTCCTGGTGTGGAGTGGGTGTCTCTCCTACCCTTGCTCATGTCTGCTTAACTACCTACTATAACAATAGGATGGCCAAAATAAGGGTTATCCTTAGTAAATAGTTCTAACTCAACAGATAACACCATGTGTGTATGTTTATTTTTCCTTCTTTTCTTCCTTGCTTTACTCTGTATTCCCTCTAAACTGATTAGCTGCTTCTAAGTAACGTATGATAAAAAGCCTCTCTTGGTCACCCTGCTACCTTTTCCTAACTTAAATTTGAATAGTCAACAAGATAGCACAGGAATAAAATTAAAATAAAATCTTTAAATCATAATACTAGCTGGCAAGAAGGTACATGTATTTTTTGGGAGGCCTAGGTAGCTTCTCAATGATGTCAGCGCCACTGGCAATACAAATAGGAAAGGATAATTTTCCTCACATAAAGACAAGAAAAATGTAGAATTTATGATATTTTGATTTCTTCCTCGTGCTGGTATTTTTCAGCTTAAAATCTTTTCTCTTTGCCTTTTTCCAGATTGTTACAGGATCCTTGGGGTGTTGCTTTTCTGGCTGGAAACCTCTGTGGCCAGTGGCGCCTTTGCCTAAGTTTTGCTCAGGCCACTGGGCTCATTTTACCCACTCGACATGGCAGGCTGTGCTCAGCTCACTCTCGCAGCCTGGATCCCACACCTGCCAAGGGCAAGTCAGGCATGGAGCAGCGAGAGGTTTGTGAGCAAGCATGGGGTTCAGCCACTGTGCACAGCCAGACACGCTTGCTGCTGCAGTGGGGCAGGCAGCTCCAGGTGCTGGCATGGGTGCTTGCTCTCTGTGAGGCTGTGGCAGGACCAGGCACACCGGAAGCAGCTTCCACGGCTTGCACTGGGGAACGTGGTGCTCCCTGGAAGCTTAGAAGTGCCAGGAACCTTAGGACCCCAAAGACGGAGTCACAGCCTTAGTCAGGGTGCTCCCAGGTCTGGGTTCCTGAAGAGCCTCAACTCCTCTCACTTTCTTTGCTCACAAAGTGGCAAGCAAAGGGCAAGTTTCAGTCCTGTTTGTGTTACAGCTCTTTTAGCCTCACCATTCATTGGGTCCCAAGTTCTTGTCCTGCAATCAGGAAGAATGAGGTACACAGACAAGTAGAGGGTGAGCAAGATGAAGAGGAGCTTTCTTGTGTGATGGAACAGCTCAGAGAAGACCTACAGGGGGAAGCTCCTTTCCACAGACAGGGTGTCCTGACAAGTGTGCACCTCTCAGCAGAGAGAGTAGCTCCTCTCTGCAGCTGGTCCTCCTGTTGTCTGTTTAGCTCTGGCTGAGTCCAGGGTTTTTATCGCCCTCAGAGTGGAGGAAGTGCACACAGATTGGTCCATGGGTGGCTATAGGCAGGCCAAGAAAAGCACCACAAGTCCCCACTCTGGTCCAGGGGACCGGCAGCCCAGCCCCCAGCTTCACTCCTTCCCTGGCTTGAAGGTAGGATTTCACCAGGGGCCTGCCCCATTCACCTAGGAGCCTGTCTGCCTCCCACTGCCATCCATGGCGTCCAGGCTGCTCTTGCCAAGGGGCACCTGCAAGCAAGCGCCAAGCTTCCGTCACAGGCCCCCTTTATTTCCCCCTGCACTCATCGCCGCCCAGTACCCAAAGTCTGGAGAGGGCGGAGGCTGCAGGGGCTGGCATGTCAGAGCTGCCCCGAGCATGCGTACACCCAGCCAGTCTGTGACAGCGCCTGGGCTCAACCCCAACCCCGCTCTGAAATCAGAGCAGGCACCAGGAGTGGGAAGAGTCCAGGCAGCAGGAGTAGACACCCGTGAGCCTCTGGGGGAAGGGGGGGGCCTTCCCAGGTTCCCAAGGGTGCGGAGTGCAGTGATGCCTGAATCCTGTTCCTGGGAGGACGGAGCTCTCACCCACTCGGTGGAACGTGCAGGCAGCCCTGGCCATGCCTCCTCACAGCCTGGGCCAGGGGCTCCACGTTCTCACTGGGCCACTCTCTGACCTCCCCTCTAGGCCTGACGGCACTGCTCCACCGCCAGTGAGTGGCTCGGCCTGGCCGCATCGCCGTGGCTACCAGGGTGGCAGGCTCCGGGGTCTCTCTGGGGTAGGTTCTGGAGATTGACTGCCTCCTCTCTGTGCCCACTCTGTAGTGGTGGTGGGTGAGGTGCAGGTGGCCCAGCGTTCTCCCGCCATCCCCGCACAAACAAATCTGACATCCTGGGAACCAACCCTGCAAGTTCCAGCTGTGCCTTCAGGCAGGTGTTCGCGGGCTCCCAGGATGTGGCGGGAAGTGAGATTCTAGTAACGACAGAGGCTCCGGGACTGGGAGCGGGTCCTGTCTGGCCGTGTGAGGGGTCAGGGTAGCGCAGTCGCCTGCCTCAGGGACACGGGGCATAGGGGACCCATTGTCACCATTGCTGCTCCCACAGCTGCTTGAGCCACCACCACTCGCGCCTCCCTGCTGCAACTAGCGTGATGGTAGCAGCTGCTCTAGACGGCCCACTGCTGACATCAAAATGACTAGTACAACTGCTTTCCTTCCTGTGGCTTCCATATAGGGACACGAGTTTTTATCCATGTTCTCAGTTATCTTCTAATCACATCTCTATCATTTCTGCTTTCCTAACTACATGTGTGTGGCTGATAAACGGCCCTTGGAGGTGGAATATGTCTAATATGTGAAGGAGACTCAGAACTATGGCATGACCACAAAAACCTGTGTCCTCAAATAGAACAGGTGATTCATTATTGGCCAAAGATGTGTGCAGAAGGAACATATTCTGCTAGTTCTATGGAGAAAGAACAGACCCAATATTGGATGACAACTTGGCATATCTGTCACAGAATGTGATATTATCTATTTCCCCTTGTTGAACTACGCTTCTATTGGGTACTTTTCCTGGCTACTCCTTTATCATTCATATTTTAACATATGTAGGAAATGGTGAGAGAAACCTCCCAGATATCAAACTTGTCTGTACTTGCTTTCACCTCTAACCACATTATCCTTTTGAAATTATTTTCAGAGCTTGAATCACAGACTCATATTTGTCATTTGGGTATTTGATCATTTATTCATTTTGTTTATTTGTCATTTTTCAAAATATTGTAAGCTTCTAGGAAACAGAGAAGTTGTCCGTGTTGTTCAGAGAGGCATTCTCATCTCTCAAAACAGTGCTCGCTTTTTGTAAATACAAAATAAACATTAGTGGGTTGGATGCATGCATGTAAAGTCAATTGTTTCTTAATATTTTAACCAACCTCTTGAAAATCTCCATGTAAACTACCACCTACCTATTTTATCCCTCTAATCATTTAAGTATTTTTATAATACATTCTGTTAAAAATAATAAATAAATATATTTTCATTATATGAAGAGAAATTCAGTAGTTTTGCACACTCCCACATTTAAAATAAGATTGTAAATGAAACATAATATAAATGACAGAAACCATGAAAAATTATGTTTTGCTATGAAGGCAAATTTATTGTTAGAATATTAATTCATACACATTAGAAAGTGTACTTTGAAGATACTTAGTGCATTTTTCTATCAAGCTGAAAAATTTTTCCATTTCAGCATAAAGACAGCATAGGCTTAAATATAGTTTAGCTAATAGATCATTTTGCACAACATTAAGCCTGCAAATGCTTTCAAGAATATTTGATGCTGCAATACTTTCAAACAACTGTAATGCAATTAATTTCTACTGTGCACATAGTCAGCTAATAACCATAGAGGCATCATTCAGTCAGTTATATAGCAAATATAAAAATGAAGAACAAACTAAATTAGGATGGAAAGAAACTGGAGGTAAAAGAAAATTATTCTGGTTTGCATGTTGAATATATGTAAATATATGGAATATATGGATAAGGTGAAACCACCACACAATTCTCTGGACTTTTCTTTCCAGAATCATAAAATTACAAGGTGCATACATTGTTAAACATGTCTATTAAATATTATATGTGTCTATTATTAGATATCAATGGTTATTCTAACCAAGGATTATATTTCTAGGCATACTTTCCTTGAAATTTGTCATTGTCATAATTGATAGATTATTATACTATAAAAATTATCTGCTATTTCCAAATGTCTTTCTTTAAACCTGCAGTTTTCTTAAGTTGTTGTACATCATTTTTTCTTGTATTCAAGACAATTGGGGAAAAGTTTATTCCACCTTCTTCAACTTTACTAATTCTTTAGCAATATTTATTGATTATGGCAATATCACTCACATTTTCACCAGTATGGCATTTGTCTTTAGGGTAATGCTATCCTTTGGTCCGTATTACCTACTCTCACTTTGGAATCTTCATCTGAAATACCTCTTGTCAAAATGCTCTGCTTATATTTTTCCTAATTAGGTTTGAGTTTCTTGTAATGATGATGGATATATTTTCAAATATTTCAGAATAAACTCAGACAGTTTTAAAGGGTTAAATACATTTTGAAAAATGAGAATTCAGTGGTCAGTACCTTTTCTGTCATGTAAATTTAAATGCTGTGATTTATAATAGTAACTCTCACTGAATTTGGGATCCTTTGTGCCATTTTAAAGTGGGTAGTTTCTAATAAATAACAAAGCATAGTGGAAAACATTTTAAATTGTGGAAAGCCGCTTCTCTGGTACATTTTCTTACAGGGCACATTGGATCAATTGCCCGGCTCTATCTCTTTGGTCACTTCCTATAAACAAATTGGATTTCCTCGAGGAGCTTGGCCTGTGTGCAGCTGATAAGTAGTGCAGCAGGCTCTACTTCTATTTGGTATTCCTTGTAGAACTTTGACTTCATTCTTTTCATCTAATTTTCTGGCTGTCATAGTTTGTACTGATGTTTTTCCTGTTCTGCCTTTCCTTTCCTACTCACTCAATTGCAATTTCTTTTCCCTTTCAGTGCTTGAATAATAAGTTGCTTTGTCAAGCAATACTAATAGCTGTCTCTAGTCACACTCTTTGGAGTGACTCATCCCACACGGAGGCATTTTGCATTGCTTCCCTCCAAAAATATAAACAAATAACTACAAGATTTTGGGAGACTGAGTTAGTGAGTACATAATAAAATGCAAGGGAAAAAGTCACATTAACTGCATTAACAAATGCAAGGAAAAAAGTCACATTAACTGCATAAGGTTTTTATCTCTGCATTTAGTAACCTACGCTGGTAGTAGAAGTTAGAAATATCATGAGAGTTCTAGATTCATGGACAAGGGAATATTAATTAGCTTGGAAGAACAGAAGCCACCATTTGATTGAAACAAACAAAAGCCCAAATTCCAACTAAAAGTGTGCCAAAATAAATATGATGGCAAATCTTATGTATTGCTTGCAAAATGTTATTCACAGTTCTAAGTTTGTTATGGATAAATGGGTCATATGATATTCAGTTTACAGATGAGAGAACTGAAGCCAGGAAAGTTAAACAAACTTGCCTCAAATCACATAACTAATAAGAAAGGGCCAGAATTTGAACCATGATAGCCAGATACCAAAGTTGGCATTTAAAATATGATAATGCCTCCCGTATGCTAAGGACTTCAAGCTCAGGAGTGGTGTTGCAAATAAGTGATTGTTTTTAGTAAAAAGTCTGACTGATTTTCATCGTGTTAATAAATTTACTGGGATAAAGAAAGTAAGATGTTTGGAATTAACAATTCTGGTTATTATCAAATATATTTATTTGAATTAATTGGCATATCAATGTAATTTTCATCAAGTAATTTAAAATAGTAATTCTAAACATTACATTATTCAGCAAGATGCTGCCACTGATGAGGCTAAAAAAGGTTACATGTAAACCCTTCATATATTTTAGAATCAACTCCATAGGCAAATAAATTTGCATTAAAATGTGTGATAAATAATTTAATAATAAAATATAATCAAAACACGAGAAAGCTAAAGTAATAGCTTTTTCTCTGCATATGAAAATCATGCAAATCAATCTACTGCAAAGTTCAGAGTGAGTAAGGAACTTCCATGTAAAATTCTCGTCTTCAATCCAGAAGAGTTTGCTTGAAAACTTCAATAGTAACATGTGTTTAAAACAATAAAAATATACACAGTAATGTTTCAGCAATAGAAAAAATATATATATCTTGAAATGTAAATATTTTTTATGAGCTTGCTTTATATCATATTATCTAAAGATCTGCAGCATATAATAGTAGAGATTGTTTAAATAGCTTAATCAACCAAAACCAAAATATCTTACTTTTAAATTAAGCAATTTTTCAAAGACTGGAATGCTTATGAAATATTATTATGTCAACTCTATTTCTTTCCTACTGGGTAACATTTTAGTAAGCCTAATAAATTTTATTATTAAGTATACTGACCTATAAAATTATTTATAATTCTTTTTTATGCTGCATTCTTTGCTATGGTACATAGGTGCCTAAATTAAAACTTTAGTAAACTTAGATAATATTTACAAAGCAAGTTCATATCTAATTGAATTTGTTTCCTATATATCAAGGAAAAACATGTTTTGTTGGATTTTAAGGTATTTTCATTATGTACTCACTATAATTCTTTGTACTAATATTACAGAGAGAAATCTAGAATGAAGCATACTGATTCTTGACCAAATGCTTTCAGGCTTTGAGAATTGCATTATATCATTTTGATTGTTGAAATAGACACTAGGAAGTTCCAAAAAACAAAAACACATACTCGAGCAAAAGGACAAAACAAACAAGTAAAAATATCAAAAACCCCTTGATTTTAAATAAATTATTTTAAATGCTTAGGTAATTGGAAAATACTATAACCATTCTTAAGTGAGTAGTATTAAGAGAGAGAGGGCAGTTGGGCAAGGTGGCTTGCCTGGCATGGTGGCTCATGCCTGTAATCCCAGCATTTGGGGAGGCTGAGGAGGGAGGATCCCTTGAGTTCAGGAATTTGAGACCAGCCTGGGCAACATAGTGAGACCCCCTTTCCATAAATAATATATTTTTAAAAAGTAAACATAAAAATAAAAAAGAGAGAGAGCAACAAAAATAAATTGGCCCTTTATAAATCACTCTAGCTATTATTTGGAGATAAGAGCAATGGCAAGAAGCTTAATGACAGCTGGGGGATGATTTAAAAGTATATTGGTGGGTCCAGGTGAGAGATGGTAGAGGCATGTTGGATATCAAAAGATATCTGCCAAAATGGACAGATTGGATAAACAATTTTTGTTTTACATCATTTATATAGTTCACGCAATTTACATTAATAAATCATGGCTTTTAAAAACTATGTACTATTATTTTAAGTTATATTTATATATAAATGCATGTTACATTGTGCAAATGGGTTGTTATTATATGTTTTAACATAAGTATAATTTTACAATTGAATAGTAATTTATGTAGGCTATAAAATCTAGTATTTGGAGAAAAATTATGTTCAAAAAATATTTTACTTATTAAATTATTTTCTTTTAATGTATTCACTTATCATATACACAAGGTATATGTCATATTTTATCATGTATAAAATATCTTATCTATTACATATGAGAAATACATAATATATGATAAATTACATTTTATCACATATAAGATATGATAAAATGTATACAATTTATATGTTATATGTAATATGATAAATACATATAATAAATGGGACACATTGTATGCTTGTATCAAAATATCACATATACCCCATAAAAATATACAACCATTATTTATCCACACAAATTAAAAATGAATAGAAGGTAAATCTAAAAAAATAAAAAAAAATTCATCCTTAGTGTTCAGTGGGATCAGTTTATATGTGAGTAAACAGAGATTAAAAGATCTAGGAAGGCTGGGGTCAGTGGCTCATGCCTGTAATCCTAGCACTTTGGGAGGCCAAGGCAGGTTGATTGCCTGAGCTCAGGAGTTTGAGACCAGCCTGGGCAACACGGTAAAACCCCATCTCTACTAAAATACAAAAAATTAGCCAGGCATGGTGGCATGTGCCTGCAATCCCAGCTACTTGGGAGGCTGAGGCAAGAGAATCGCTAGAACCTGGGAGGTGGAGGTTGCAGTGAGCTGAGATAGCGCCACTGAACCCCATCCTGGGCGAGAGTAAGACTGGTTGTCAAAAGAAAAAAAAAAAAAGAAGAAGAAGAAGATCTAAGAATTCTGGCTCTAAATGAATTTGAGTCTCTACCAGCAATATTTAGATGAAAGACTGTCCTTTTCAGAATGCAAATATCTAGATAACTCAGGGGTTATAAGTTAATCTCACATTTTTTGAACTAGGTAAATTGAACACTCCTAATAGTCCCTAAACAATTGTGATTCTGAAGGGGGTTTCGTGTGGGGGGAAGTAGTCACCTGGATCACTGGGCACTTTTTATGACAACCAGCCTGGGTGGAGAGTCACAATAAGATGGGTGGGTACTTAAGGTACAATAGAGCTCCTAGGACAGTGTTGCGCAGGAGAAAAGTGGGCTGCTACTACTAAGTGGTGAATCAGGTAACTTAATATCTCTATTGTATTTTAGTTGTTTTTTAAAATCTTAATATCAAATACTTGAAAAAGTCACATATTTAGACACATGGCTTTCAAGAATGTCATTTTATTCCAATGTCACCATTAAATATATCCAGCATTTTAATTTCTGAGGTATGCTTACACGGTAGCAGGATTTTCGCTTTCTAACATCATAAAAATGTAAAAACACATCATAAGAAAAACAAAACACATTTTTAAAACGATAAAATGTGAACTATGATTTAGCATCTGTGTATGATTACAGACGTCACTATAAAAGTAGCTGCCACAGATACTATCAAGTTCGTACTTAATTTTAACATATTAACATTATGACTATCAATAGATAAATGATCAGGTTATGAAAACAATAAACATATTAACCATAAATTTAATTTGTTTCTCTGAAAACAGTAAAAAATATAAAATAACCAATTTTTATACAGATCAGGAAGGGATGATACCTCTAAACAAAATTTTACTCATTAAAATGTGAAAAATATACATCAGCCAATGGCATAGGTATTGACATTATTAACACTAAAATTATCATTTAACAAATAATTCTATGTTAAAATAATTGTATTAAAATTATATTGTTTTCCAATTATATTTAAACATAATTATATTTAAATAACTGAAGTATTTAAAAATGTTATTCTATATGTATATGTACATATATAAACACATATATAGACATACATATGCATACATGTATATCATATATAGATATATACATATATGCATACAGATATGATTATATATGTGTATATACATACACATATATACATACACGTGTGTGTGTCTGTGTGTGTGTATCTATAACTTGTAGCTCAGTATGAAAAACAAGCTCAAAACAGGCTGCCTAGGTTTGCTTCCAGGTTCCACCATTTAGCCCTGTGATGTTGAGCAAGTCCCATAAATTTCTCCATGACTCAGTTTCCTCATATGTAAAAAGACTCATAATTGTACCTACATTCTGTATTTATTGTGAGAATGTAAGTGTAATGAATTTGAGATATTTAGAAGAATATTTGACATAGGGGAAAAACATAAATATTAGCTGTAAAAAGTAATTTTAGTGCGTACTTTTACATTTAACACTGTGCCTTAGAGAGTCTTTCTTGCCTCATAAGGTTAATTCATAGACAGCTTTTTAACATTTATGAAGTATTTCATAAAATAGATGCCCCATAATTTACTTCATTATTTATCTTTAAGTTTGTTTGCTATGTTTTGTCATGAAAAGCAACACAAAGATGAACACTTTTGTACTTTATCTACAAATGTGCAAAAACTATTGATATTAGTGAAATGCATAATTTAGAAATTTTTGATTGGCAATAATAAAATGAATTACAAAAATACACTTTAACACTTTATATTCATAGTGGCAACATGTGACAGCCTGTTTTCTCTGCATGATGGTTTTTGCATTACATTTTTCTCTTAAGGCTCAGAGTATATAACATGGGTCAGATACCCCTTATCAGAAATACCTGGAACCAGAAGAGTTTTAGATTTTAGATTTTTTTCAGATTTTGGAATATTTGCACATGCATAATAAAATATCATGAGGATGAGACCCAATCCAGACACAAAATTCATTTATGTTTTATATACACTTTATACACATAGCCTGAAAATATTTTTGTACAGTATTTTAGGTGATTTTTTGCATGAAACAAACTTTATGTACATCGAACCATCATAAAAGCAAAGGTGTTACTATCTCAGCCACCCCTGTGGACAATGAGGTTGTTTGGCATAACTATTTTTCCTGACTGTGAATTTGTACGCTAACAATAAGCAATCATTGTTTTATGCTTATTAACACATACACACTTAAATCTAAAAAATATGACATACCATTACTACAGTGAATAAATAATGTGTTCAAGGTTAACTAAGAAGCACAGTAGCATCACCTGAATATCTGTATTTGCTGTTAAACAAGAGCAAACAACAAAAGTCATTGTACACTGTATTTTATTTTTATTGGTTGAGAAGAACCAACAATGACATCAAGGGAATAGGAAGTGGGTCCTCTCTGGACAAGGAGGCATTCTGCTGAATGGCTTTTCTAAATATTTCCTCTAGAGTCTCATTCATAACGTTTTTTTGTCTTATATCATTGGTATTTAAACAGACAGGATTTCATGTTCTCTAGGGAAAGCAGACTGCTCTAGTCCTTTAGTCAGCTCATCACACATTTTTACCATGCCATCTATACGCAATTTGTCTGCATTATCAATGTCATCTTCATTGTCAGTATTATCACAATCTCCTTGATTTAGTACTATTTCATCTCTTTCACCACCAGTTGATAAATAAACAACAGGAGTCTCATTGTAAAGGTTAACAACTTCTATAGCCACTTCTTCCAGCTTGCTGATGGATTCTGAAGGTACATTTTTTGCATATGTAGAGGTCAGACATCATTTTTTTCACTTAACATATGGACTCCTTCAAAGTCATTACCTTGTTCATCAACAATGGCAAGATTTTGTGATTCCTTGAAAACCGTCCTTTTCATCCTCTTCATTGATCTTAGAATACCTTGATCATATGTATGAATTAATAAAGTCACAATTAGAGAAAAGTAAATGGCATAACATTAATTTGATGAATATTTCAGCTGGAGGAAGGGTGGAAATGTTGACAAGGAATCACAAAATGTTGCAGCTGTCATCAAGCCCAGGTTCCCACCAGTGAGAAGCAGCCACTGGTATGAAATGTTTGTAAAATCAATCAGAAAAGACGTCCTTAGTGATACGTGATTTTCTTAGTATAGTAATGTGCGGGTAAGATATTATTTTCTTGATAACAGAAAGGACGTAGGCTTTAAGCATGTCTGCTGCATGAAAACATCCCATCACAGTTATTTAGTCCTTGGCATCCTTAATTCCTATAGGGGCTGCCTCATCAGATATAGTCAGTGTCTTTCTGGAGCAATAATGATGAAACACTGGTGTTTCTTCATCATTATAGACTTGTTCTAGCATCAGATTTTCATCAGCAATAACCTCAGAAAGCTCATCAATGAATTTCTTTGTTGCTTCACCATCAGATGATGCTTTATAATGACCAATCTTTTTTAAAAAATGCTTTGTATTTTCTTAAATATCTGCAATCTGCCTGTCAAATATTCATATTTTCCTTCAATTGTCATTTTATCATGATCAGCATACCATTATGTGGCCTCACTGAGATGGTGATGGATCCACTCTTTCAATACACAGTTGAGATATTCATTTTTAGCTTTATGCAGTGTTTTTTTTTTCTATTTTTCATTAACTTTGGTTTAGCACTTTCAGCATAGTGCTTAGACATTGTATTCTGTTTCTTCAGGTCATATATGGTGGCCATTTCAATACCATTGTCTTCCGTAAGATGTTTCACACATCCGCCACTGTCTAGTTTCTCCAACAGCTTGACTTTCTGTGCTATAAACATAAATGCTTCCTCCTTTTCTTATCACTGTTACCTATAGGGGAACCTGCAGGCCCTTTTGGCATTTTTAACAGTATCTTTATACCACAGAGCATAGAATAAGCCAAAAACACACTGAGTAATGCACGTAGGTATTGACCCCGTGTGAGACATCATGAAGAATGCAGCTGCAGTTGGTGCCTTTAGCCTGCAGAGAGAGTGTTTTATGACTCTTCATGGGTGTGTTATTGTGGAAGAATCTTGGTTTGCTTGAAAAAGTTATATCACAGCTAAAGAGGGCTGGGAGGGTGTTTAATCCCCTTGGAAATATGGAATAAACTGTGTGTTGTGCACCTGCATTGTGACTATGACTCACCACATGAGGTCAAACATGGAATATTTCCCTTGTGGCATCATATCAGTGCTCATTAAGTTTTAATATTGGAGCATTTTGGATTTCAGATGTTTGAATTGAGGTGTGTAAAATGTATTTTTATAAAATGTCATTTCTTTTACTGGCAGGAATGATTAACAATAAAATTTTAAAACCTGTTTTAGAGACCTCTGTGTCAACATATTTCTAGTCCTTTTAATCTTTCTTCTTTTCTGTGGCTTACAGGACCTAATACCTTTCTATAAAGGCACAGCTGATTAATCTAACACAGGCATGCATTTTATAATTTCAACAGCTGATATCGCCTTTATTTCCCCAAATTTAATGGGGCTAATTGTAATTTAATATTGGATAAAATTTGTGAAATATATTTGTAAGTTTGTAAAATAAAAGTATAAATTTTTTAATTGAATTTTTTTAATTCCAACTTTTATTTTAGGTGTATGGGGTACTTGTGCAGGTTTTTTACATGGGTATATTGTGTGATGCTGAGGTTTGATATGCAAACGATCCTGTCACTCAGGTAGTGAGCATAATACCCAATAGGTAGTTTCTCAACCCACACCACCTCTCCTTCCCTCCCTCCTCTAGTGCTCCCAATTTCTATTGTTTCGATCTTTATGACCATGTGTACTCAGTGGTTACTTCTCACCTGTAATTAAGAATATACAGTATTTGGTTTTCTGTTCCTGCATTAATTTGCTAAGAATAATGGCCTCCAGGTGCATCCATGTTGCTGCAAAGGACAGGATTCCATTATTTTTTATGGCTGCATAGTATTCGATGGTGTGTATATACCATATTTTCTTTATCCAATCCACCATTGATGAGCACCTATGTTGATTCCATGTCTTTCCTATTGCGAATAGTGCTGTGATGAACATATGAGTGCATGCCTGTTTTTGGTAGAATGATTTATTTCCCTTTGGGTATATACCCAGTAATGAGATTGCTGGGTTGAATGGTAACTGTTTTAAGTTCTTTGATAAATCCCACATGCTTTACACAGTGGCTGAACTAATTTACCTTCCCTCCAATAGTATGGAGGCATTCCCTTTTCTCTGCAACTTCACCAACATCTGTTATGTCTTGACTTTTTAATAATAGTCATTCTGACTACTGTGAAACAATATCTCACTGTAGTTTTGATTTGCATTTCTCTAATAATTGATGGTGAACTTTTTTTATGTTTGTTGGTGCATGTATGTCTTCTTTTGAGATGTGTTCATTTATTTCTTCTGTCCACCTTTTAACGGGGTTACTTGTTTGTGCTTGTTGAATTTTTTAAGTTCCATATAGATTCTGGATATTAGACTATTGTTTGATGCATAGTTTGCAATCTTTTCTCCAATTCTGTAAGTTGTTGGTTAATTTGGTTGATATTTTCTTTTGCTTTGCAGAAGCTCTTTAGTTTAATTAGGTCCTCCTTGTCAACTTTTAAATTAAAATAGAAAATAACTTATTATTCTACTTAAACATAGAGGAAAATCAGTAATGTGGAAATTAAGGCAGAGACTTTTGGGGACAACTGCTTTCAGAAGAGCTTGTTGAATTAAAAACAGATCCATTCTTATTTAAATGTCTGCCACATCATTATTGAGAAAATCATCCGGAATACTCTGTGAAAGGACTGATGTATTATGAAGTTCAGTTTAGTTATGCACCTACAGTTAGCCAGATTGGGATAGACCCATGTAAATGTAAAGTATAATTATGAATATTTGAAGCAATTTATTATATTTTAAACAATTTTGCCTTCTAACATAGAAACACCTACATGATAATTCATTTTGATTTCTGATTTGTTTCTCATTTTTCCCCTTGTACTATACAAATTATTGCAATGATAACACTTATCACATATTCTGTATTTCTGAAAATATTTTCCTGTCCTCCTTGTAGTTGGGCATGTTCATGTTACTTCTCCTGGCCATGGAATTGTGAACAGTAATGCTCTATGTTACATACAGAGAATCACAGTGAAAGGTTCCACATCCAATTTTTCCTTTGTCTTCCCCTGTAGCAGCAGCTTAGTTAGTACACATATTCCAGATATTGCTGTGACACAGAGGTATATTTTCTGTCATCCTGGACCTCAATGTATCTAAGGACAGAGACTCCTGCTATACTGATTTTAAGACTATTTGTCACTGCAAATGGCCTATGCTATTCTAATATATAGCCCATGTTTTTAAGGTATAAAATCTAGTTAAGATTTAGAAGCAGTTTAAATTGAAAATATTCTCCATCTTTGGGAAAGAGGTCAATTCCATTCTTGAGCATTATATGAAGAGAGAATCTGGGTTATATTGAGTGCTATGGAAGCTATTAGTACTAGTTTAATAAAATAGTTATTCTGCTGGAATGCCTTAAGGTAATAATATTTTATATTTATTTAATTATATAATGAAGCTCAAAAATACCCAGTTTGGCTGCAATCAGCAAAATTTATTGGTTTAAATTTTAAGTACTAAAGTTGGCTGATTAGTCATACAAAGGATTGTTCACTTGCCAAATCTGTAAACTGTATTCGTAGACAAATAAAAGCCTGGACAATCTGCAAAGTAAAGTAAATTACTTAAAAACTACTTGGGGGTCATCCTAAAGAATAGTAAAATCTTAATTAATCAGAGTATTCTGCATATAATATTTCAGCTGAATGAAATGTATGTCACATGTCTGTTATAGTAAATTAAATATACATTATTTCCACATACATTTAATTTATACACATTCCACACACATACATACATGTGCATGTAATGGCATATGATCTCACTCTGTGGTTTCCTCTGGGAAAGAAAAATTAGTGTACAATTATTTTTGGCATTTTGCCAGTTCTGTTGTGTATATTGAAACCAATGATGATTATTCAGTCAAGAGTGCAACAGATAAGGTAAAGAAAAATGTTAGTAAAACAATCACAGTAAATTGAGGTTTTGATCTTTGTGAGCAAGGTTGGTGGAATTTTGTTGCATACTCTATGTGTTTTAAACATAATTATAATCTACTTTACTATCACAAATAAAGGGATATTAAAGTTGTATCATGAGCCTCTACATTTATACATATATTTCTATGAAATAGAATGTGAAAGCTAAGATTTGAGCCTATAAAGGCAGAATTTGTAAGAATATATTGGAAAAACTAATATTAAAATGTAAGTTTTCTATACAATTATTTTGAATTTAATAAATCCTCTGAAACAGACCCTGTAGTAATTTTTCTTTACATGTAATAGTATTAGAATACATGTAGAAAGTATTCCTGAAATGGCAATTAATGTATTTTAACAAAAACATTACATTATGAATTTTTACTCTTTTATCATATAACATCATCTATTAGGACACCTCTGTGACTACAGCACTTATTTAAATTATTTCGTTGCCTACACCATTTTTAATTACACATAAATATTATTATTAGTAGTAATTTTTAATCTAGCTAATTGAAAAGCTTGAGAAATTGAGTAGATATTTACAAGGTTTATTAAAATCATCTGTTGTATTGACCCTTTTAATTATTATACTAGCACTAGATTTAATCATTCTAGGACTATAGAACAATGCCTTATAATAGGCTGGGTGCAGTGGCTCATGCCTGTAATCTCAGTAGTTTGGGAGGCCGAGACAGGTGGATCACTTGAGGTCAGGAGTTCAAGATCAGTCTAGCCAACATGGTGAAACTCCATTTCTACAAAAAATTAGCCAGGCATGGTGGTGGGTGCCTGTAATCCCAGCTACTCGGGGGGCTGAGGCAGGAGAATCGCTTGAACCCGGGTAGTGGAGGTTGCAGTGAGCTGAAATTACACCATTGCACTCCAGCTCGGGCAACAAGAGCGAAACTCCGTCTCAAAAAAAAAAAAGAAGTATGACTTGTAATTAAAATGATGATAGTACAAATGTTTTTGTATACATAAAAATAGAAACTAGAAAACTTTAGGTTTCAATATACAACTCATAGGCTTTATAGAAATTTTACAAATACCTATAAATTTAACAATTTTATTGATAGAAAAAGAAGAAAAAGCAATATGTTTTACTGTTCAGTTGCTTGGAAAAAATGTAAAGTTCTCCTTTTTTTAAGATACTAAATAATTAATTTACATACGTATTTAATGAGCAATCTAGATTTTGGAGAAATCTAGAACAGAAATTTTTTTTAAAAAAATTTATATTGTCTTTTTTTTCTATTGAAAATATTTTAAATCTCTTAATTTTTATTAACTTTTGTTTGGATTGTGTTAATTATAATTCCACATTATAATACTATAAAAGTCACCTTCAAGGTGGCTCTGTTATATTACAGATGGAAACATAACATCTAGTATAATTAAAATATAGGTTTCCTTTATAAAAGAGGATATGGAAACTCATTTGTATGCACTAAACTACATAAATCAGAAGACAAGGTAAAATACTCCCAAATAAGGTACAAGATTCTCAGTCCCCCCACTACCCACTCTGCCATTTCCTGTGAATGTAAAACTGATCTTATGTACATGGAGTGGGGGTTCTAATAGGCATAATGGAAAACTCACATATTTGCTCTCTTAGGGATCATTCTCTCCTCCTAACTCCTCCTAGCTGCTTGGGATATTCTAGATTTTTGCCCACTTGCTCTCCACCTGTAAGTAATTTTTACAAAACAATCCAGCATTCTTTTCTATTTATTGTGAGACTGAATAATTCAAAGGTCAATTTCCCTTTGTATCATTTCCTCAAGGAATAAAATATCAATACTGATTGAAACAATTACATGTTCAAAATACAATAAAACAACAGAATATAAAACTTTTGCTAAAGCAAAATTGACACGTAATTCAATTAAGAGTTATTAGTTGTGAATTTGTCATGTTGCTACCCTTCTAATCAGCATGTATCTATGTGTATACACAAAATCATTGAATTTGTCGAAGAATTCTGAACATACCAGAATGTTAATTACAGGTAAATATTTGGTTCATTTAAAGTGAGACTTTATCCACATTTAGAATCACATATAATTTTCACTGTTTGCCTAGTAGAGTAAATGCACCTCCCCAAATTTTAAGTTACCAAATTTTGATTCAGAAATAATTTTGTTATGTGTGTAGATCAAATGTTATGCATTATATGAATTTTGCAATTTTACTAGTGAGAAATTAAAAGTTTATCAAATTTGAAATTGAAGGAAAATTTAAAAATATTCACCTCTTTTCTTCATATAGCTGTTTTAACAATATCAAATCCAAATAATAAAAATAAGCATGCAAATCTATTAGAATGTAACATATATACTTATACATATATATATCATATGTATATATATATGTTTGTTGATATATATATATATATTTGTTTGAAATGGAGTCTTGCTGTGTCACTCAGGCTGGAGTGCAATGGTGCAGTCTTGGCTCACCTCAACCTCCGCCTCCCGGGTTCAAATGATTCTCCTGCCTCAGCCTCCCGAGTAGCTGGGACTACAGGCATGTGCCAGCACACCTGACTAATTTTAGTTTTTTTAGTAAAGATGGAATTTCACTGTGTTGGCCAGGCTGGTCTCAAACTCCTGACCTCGTGATCCACCCACTTCGGCCTCCCAAAATGTTGGGATTACAGGCGTAAGTCACCGCACACTGCCTATAATATTTTAATTATCATATAATTACAGCACCTGTCTAAAGTTTTCTTTTTATTAATAAACTATTTTTTAAAGAAGTTTTAGTTTTACAGCAAAATTGGGCAGAAAGCACGGAGAGTTCCTGTATAACTTCTGTCGCCACTCATCCCATACAAACAACGTCCGTCACCATCTATATCCCACACTACAGTAGTGCATTTGTTACAACTGATGAACCCACAATAACATATCATTATCAGCCAAAGTCCATAGTTTCCCTTCGGGTTCACGCTCAATGTTGTACATTCCATGAATTCTGGAAAATGTGTAATAATATGTATCCAGGAAAGTTTCACTGTTCTGAACTCATATATGCTCTGCCTGTTTATTCCTTCACCCTGCCTAATCTCTGGTAACAATTAACCTTTTTACTGCCTCCATATTTCTGCCGTTTTTCCTAATGTTGTATAATTAGAATCAGACTTTCAGATCAGCTGTTTCACTTAGTTATATGCACTTAAGGCTTCTCCATGTCTTTATCAAGGCTTGATAGATCATATCTTTTTAGCACAGAATATTTCATTGTCTACATATTCCACAGTTTATCCACTCACCTACTGAAAAAATATTTGGTTGTTTCCAAGTTCTAGCAATTGTGAATAAATCTTCTATAAGCATCCACGTGCGGGCTTTTGTTTGGACAATAACTTGGAGTAAATACCAAGGAGTTTACTAGCTAGATTGTGTGGTAAATGTATGTTTAGTTTTGTAAGAACTTGGCATACTGCTTTTCAAACTGTCCATATCATTTCCCCTTTCTACCAACAATTAATGAAAGAAAGCTCTGCTACTCCCCACCTTCGACAACATTTGACAGTGTCACATTTTTGGATTCTGGTCATTCTAATTGGAGTGTAGTGGTATCTTGTTTTAATTCACAATTTTCCAATGGCATATGATATCGAACATCTTTTTATATGCTTACTTACCATGTGTGTCTTTGATAAGGTGTATGTTTAGGTCTTTGGGCCATTTTTTAAAGCAGGTGGTTGTTATTATTATTATTATTATTATTATTATTATTATTATTATTATTATTGAGACGGAGTCTCGCTCTGCCGCTCAGGCTGGAGTGCAGTGGCGCTATCTGGGCTCACTGCAACCTCCGCCTCCTGGGTACAAGCGATTCTCCTGCCTTAGACTCCCGAGTAGCTGCGACTACAGGCGCGTGCCACAACGCCCGGCTAATTTTTGTATTTTTAGTATAGATGATGTTTCAACATGTTGGCCAGGATGATCTCTATCTCCTGACCTCGTGATCCGCCCGCCTCAGCTTCTCAAAGTGCTGGGATTACAGGCGTGAGCCATCGTGCCCGGCAGGTTATTTTCTTATTGTTGAATTTTGAGGGTTATTTATTTTTCAGATGTATGATTTGCAAATAATTTTACCCGTTTGTGTTTTTTTAATCTCATTCTCTTGACCTTGTTTTTTCAGAGTACAAGTTTTTAATTTTAATAAACTCCAGTTTATGAATTATTTTTCCATGGATCATGCCTTTGGTGCTGTATCTAAATATTCATAATCATTCTGAAGATCATCTAGTGGAAAACCATAGGTTTTCCAAATCAAAAGTTAGTGGAACATAAGAAATAATAAAACATAGGTTTTCCACTTTTTTTTATAGCTGTATAGTTTTGCATTTTACATTGAGGTGTATGGCCTATATTTAGTTAATTTTTGTGACAGCTGTAAGGTCCATGTCTAGATTTATTTCTTTGCTTATGAATCTCCACTGCTTTCAACACAATTTGTGAAAAAACTATCTCTGCTTATGTTGGTCTATTTCTAGGCTCCCTGCTTTATTCCATTGATCTCTCTGTCTTTTTTTGTTGCAATATCACACTGATTACTGTAGCTTTACAGTAAGTCTTGAGATTGAGTAGTGTCAGTCCTCTTACTTTTTCTTCTCCTTCCATAGTGAGTTGGTTATCCTAGGTCTTTTGTCTCTGAATATAAACTTTTGAGAGAGTTTATGTATATTCACAAAATAACTTGCTGGAATTTTGATGAGAATGGTGTCCAATCTATGGAACAAGTTGAGAAGTACTGACATTTTGACAATATTGAGCCTAACTATCCAAGAACATAGAATAACTTTCTATTTATTTTGTTATTTGCTATCTTTCATCGGTTTTGTAGTTTTCCTAAGATAGATCTGGGACACACATTTCATGAATTTACACTCAATATTTCATTTTTAGGGGCACTGATATAAAGAGTAATATGTTTTTATTTTCAAATTTCTGTTGTTCATTGATTGTATATAGGAAAGTGATTTTTATGTATGAACTGTATTCTTCAACCTTGCTATAATCACTTATTAGCTCCGGTTTTTAAAATATATTCTCTCAGATTTTGACATAGATAATAATGCCATCTGTGAACTAAGATAGTATTATCTATTTCTTCCAATTTTGTATACTTTTTATTTTATTTTCTTGTCTTAATGCATTAGCTAAGACTTCTAGTACAATATTGAGATGCAGTGGTGAGATGGAACATAATTTTCTTGGTCCTAATTTGGAGAGAATTCATCAGTGAACCTATCAAAATCTCATGCTTTCTGTTTTGAAAGCCTTTACTGGCTGATTCTATTCCTTTAATGGATCTAGGCTGATTAAGATTGCATTTTCCTTCTTGTATGAGTTTTGGCAGATGTGTCTTTCAAGGAATTGATACCTTTCATCCAATTTATCAAATTTATAGGCATAGAGTTGTTCATAATATTTATTTATTTTTCTTTTAATGTTCCATGGATCTATAGTAGATGTATAATGATGATTTCTTTCATTTCTGGTATTAGTAATTTGTGTTTTTCCTCTTTTTCTCTTAGTTTGTCTGACTAGGAGCTTATCAATTTTATTGATCTTTTTAAAAACCAGCATTTGCTTTATTGATTTTCTCTCTTCATCCCCAGTTTTCAACTTCATTGATTTCTGTTCTAATGTTTTATTATTTCTTATGTTCCACTAACTTTTGATTTAATTTGCCCTTTTAAACATGTAAGTTTAGAATACTGATTTTAGATATTTTAATTTTTCTTATATGCTATAAATTTTCCTCTAAGCACTGTTTTCACTGCATCTCATAGATTATTATAAATTGTATTTTCAATTTAATTTAGATAAAAACTTACACATTTTTCTTAAGGTTCTTCTTTGACCCATGTGTTATATAAAAGATTGTTCTTTAATCTCCAAGTATTTAAGGATTTTCCAGCTATTATTCTGTTGTTGATTTCTTGTTTAATTCCACTTTTGTCTCAGAGCAGGATTTGTATGATTTCTATTCTTCTAAATTTGTTAAGTTATCCTTTATGGCCCAGAATGTGTTCTATCTTGGTGAATGTTCCATATGAACTTGAGGAAAATGTGTTTTCTGCTTGTTGAATAAAGTAATTCATAGATATAAATTACATTTATTTGATTAATGGTGGTCTTGAGTTCATCTATGTCATTACTGATTTTCTGCCTGCTGGAGCTATTTTTGAAAAAGTGTTGAAGCCTCCAACAAAAATAATGGTCTCATCTATATGCATGTCTAATTTTTTACATACTTTTATGCTTTCTTGCTAGGCACATACATGTTAAAGATTGCTATAGTTTTGTGTAGTATTGATGCTTTTGTCATTATGTAATATTCCTCTCTTATGTCTGATAATTTCCTTGCTGTGACTTCTGTTCTATCTAAAATTATCTAAAATTAATATAGATATTCTTGTTTTATTTGGGTTATTGTCCACATTGTATAGTATTCTCCATCATTTACCTTCAGTCTATATGTTTCTATATTTACAATTGGTTTCTTATAGAAAACATATATTTGAATCTTGTTTTTTGACCCACTCTAGCTCTATCTTTTCATTGGTGTACATAGACCATTGACATTTAAGGTGATTGTTGATAGAGTTGGATTAATATCTACCATATTTTTTACTACATCCTATTTGTTCTTTTTCTTGCTTTTGTCTCCCATACTTTTACTACCTTTTGTGATTTTATTTGAACATTTTATATGATTCATTTTCTTGTTTTAGCTTATCAATTATACTTCTATTTGTATTTATTTTTTGTTAGTAGTTGCCATAGAGTTTCCAATTTACATTTGTATCCCTCATCTAAGTAGTTTTCACTGCAGATCACAAATATACTATACTGCTTTCTGAATAGTACAAATACATTATAAAAACAACATCTTCCCAATTTTTCCTTGTTGTCCCTTGCATCATTGCTATCATTCATTTTTTCACATATGTATGTGAGAAAAAATATATATTTTTATATTTTTATGTATTTTATATATAGTTATACATAAACATATAAATTTATATAATGTATATATTTATGTAAATAAATGTAAAAATAATAGTGTATTTCATTACATAAGTATATATATTTTCATTTTATATATGTATATAAAATGAAATATACTATTCCTAATATGTGAGAAAAACTGTTATCTCTTAAATTAAGAACAAGTAGAATACATATTTTTTCCATATTTAGTATTCACTTTCTGAAATTCTTTCTTTCTTCACGAAGATACAAGTTTCTAATTTATATTATCCTTATCTCAGACACACTTTTTCTAACATTTCCTGCAAGACAGCTCTACTGGTAACATTTTTCCTTAATGTTTGTTTGTCTAAAAAGTTATTTAACCTTTCTCTTCTCTTCTAAAGGATAATTTCACAAGAGGTAAAGAATTCTACATTGGCAAGTTTTTGTTCACTCAGCTCTTTAAATATTTCTCCACTCTCTTGTTCTGTTTGCATGGTTTATTAAGATAAGTTAAATGTAATTCTACTTTTTGCTCCTGTATAGTTAAGTTGTTTTATTCCTCTGATTTCTTTGAGTATGTTTTCTTTGTCTTTGATTTTTCTGAAGGTTGAATATAATATGCCTAGGTGTCCATTTTTTTGGCATTTATGTTTCTCGGTGCTTGGTGTTTTTTACCTTCAGCATTTAGAAAAAATTTTATTGTGAGAATTTCCATCTCTGCTTACATTATTCCTGTGTTCTTGCATGTTGTCTACTTTTTCCATTAAAGTTATTTACATGTTAGTTATAGTTTTTAAAAATTCTGCTCTAAAAATTTTAATAATCTTGGCATATGTTGCTCTGGTTTGGATGCTTGTTCAGTCTCCTCAAACTATTTTTTTTGCCTTTTATTGTGCTTTGTAATTTTTGGGGTCCTCAGCAGAGGTGATTTACTGGGTAAAGGGAAATACATTAAACAAGCCTTTAATAATGTGGTTCTAAGATGTCAGGGCAGGGGAAATGTTCTTTAGTTCTATGGGTAGGTCTCAGTCTTTTGGTGAGTCTGTGCCCTTAGACTGTGAACCTCACAACTGCTTCTCCTTTTTTCCCCGGGTTAGGTAGAGCAGGATGGCTGAAGGAGGGGCTTAAGTTGTGTATTTCCTTTTCCTTACATGGAAGACTAAAGTCAGCTGGAGTTGGCTAATTCCCTTCCCCTAGGTAGGACAGACTCTGATATAACCTCAGGAGGTTAGGCTCTGATACAATAGTTTTTCCTGAGGGCTGGCCTTGTTAACTACAGAATACTCTGGCATATTTCAAATGGTTTCTTTTCTGTACCCCCTGATGCATACATGATAGTATTTTTCTTCTGTATTCACTATGAGAACCTGAGACAACTCCTGGAGCTAAAGCTAACAAAAGCGTGATGAGGGTCCTTCTATCACTGAATCATTGAATCTTTCTGGAGATTGCTTTTTTTTTTTTTTTTAGTCTCTTAGGCTTGCCCACACTGAGCCTCCAAAAATAATAATTATAATTTAGGTTTTCCTACCCTTTTACTGATTCACATGGAGGCTTCTGCTCATAGATTTCTGCTCAGATAAGTTGTGATTCTGTGTATCTGTCTACCTGTCTGTCTCTACAATTTCGAGGGTTTTGGTTTGTCCTGTGACCTCACTTCTCTGACAGCCATAAGAATAGTTGTGTTTGCTTATCTTTTCCTTCTTATTTCCAAATTATTTGCAGGTCGTTTTGTACTACACTTATTTGTAAATTACCATAAAAATTAATTAAATATGTAGAAATGTACTGTCATGTACACGTGACTAAAATTAGGTTATTTATGAAGAATATTTTTTTGTTTTCTGAAGAATAAGACCACTAAATAAATATTATAACATATATAAAGCCTATATTTTCTTTTTTTATGTTTTAAGGTAGGTGTTTTTTCTAGTGTTATCCTGTAGTTTTTTACTGATAATGGAATGTGATAGGGTTTGGATTCACTCTTTGAAGTGCCAATACATGTCTAAAAATAAGGATAAAAGCATTATTATCTTAGTTTTTCAAAAATAACAGAATTCACTGAGCATCATAAAGCTGCCTTAAACAAAAATATAAAGTAACTATAACTACCTCTCCAATAGTGGAAGGCATAACCTGCCACCATTTATCCAATTAGATACATTCCAGGAGTAATGGTATTCTTGAATCATTTGACTAGCTTTCAAGCACCAGTCATGAGAAGAATAATATGGAATCAAGAAGAGCTGAAAAATTTCTCCTTTTTTCTTCAACTATTCATCTCTGCGGGCAAGCATCAATATCTATTACATTATCAGTCTGAGTGCTTGCTACAGATACAGTAGGATGCCTGATTTCCATTCTTTCCTCAACTTACCTCAGTTCGTAAGTTCATCAGCTCTGGGGAGGTACAGTTACTTCCCACTGAGCACTCTTTGAGTCCGTCTTCTGACTTGAATTTCTACCATAAAAGCAAAGTCATTATTCAGTGAATTAAGACATGCTGATGAGCAACCCATTTTCATTCTGGCTAGCAGATTTTCATTTTAAGAGGAAGATAAGCAATGCCTTTAGATTTTCACTCCATGAAATTTATTTTCACCATGGTGATTATGATTGACTGCCATTATATATCTCTAATCACATTTGTATTCATCTTATGTTATATTGTCTTCTGATACAGAATCACCCAAATATGAGTGTTTCTTTACAACCCATGGTTACAAATCTATTTGAATTATGTTCATTAAAGAGTTTTCCCATCAGAAAACAAAACAAACAAGCATAAAGCAATTGATTCTGCTGCTATCAATGTACTGAATAAAATCTCTTTGAAGAAAATAATTCTGGAAGTTACTTTTCTTGATATTGATATCGAAAGGACTATATATTAAAGTTTCTAGTGAAAATGGATAGAAACAGATCCATCTAATTTTTATGATTTTTTATTTTTTTCTAAATTATAACTTTACTTACTAAAAATAAAATATGGCTACATAATCTGAAATTATAGCATAGTTATCCCTTCATAAATGACAAAAAATAAAATTAAGAATGTTGATCTGGGTTATTTTTTCTTCTTTGATCTAGTCACAATAAAGAGCTATAATATTTTTAAATAATTTTTATTCGTTATCTGTTGCTCAGCTAAAATTTAAAAATAGCTCTAAAACTGATTAAATTTTTTTTTATTTTTGTGAGACAGAATTTCACTCTTGTTGCCAAGGCTGACATGATCTCGGCTCACTGCAATCTCTGCTTCTCAGGTTCAAGCGTTTCTCCTGCCTTAGCCTCCCGAGTAGCTGTCATTACAGGCATGTGCCACCACAGCTGACTAATTTTGTATTTTTAGTAGAGATGGGGTTTCACCATGTTGGTTAGGCTCAACTTGAACTCATGACCTCAGGTGATCCACTTGCCTTGGACTCCCGAAATGCTGGGATTACAAGCGTGAGCCACCATGCACAGCAACATATTTATTTTTTGATAGCCAAAGTACTTATGAAGCAACCTTTATTAGACTTATTATTTCTGTTTTTTTTCCCTCCTTGGGAGCTCTTAGGTCAACTGTTTTTTTAATTTATATTCATTCCAAGTAAACATTTTATCTATCTTTTAGGTAAGCAATAGAATAAGCTAAACATGCCTAAGTTTAACTGATTATATAATTTAACTGGAACTTTATAAATGAAAGCTGCCTATCTTGAAAGCAAGGAAACAGGAAACAGTCCAGGCACACAGTAGGTGCTCTTATCATATGGGTCATTTCTATTATATTAATTATATAACAACTATTATATTATTTATATTCATCACATTAAGAATGACATTAGATGTGACATCTATATTTCTGCTCAATAAGGTCATGTATTTCCAACTTGTATCTCTTAGTTAGTTAGTTGCCCTACCAAAAAAAAAGAGTTTTTTGATCTCTCTCTCTAAGGAAACAGCAGCATTGTGCCAGTGAATAACATCAAAGAGGTTGTTAGAGATTGAATACTAACTAGTATTAGAGATTTTTTTAAAGGGTAAGATATCAAGGGAAAAAAGTCTACTAGCCCTTTATAAGTAATTTGTAGGGTGGTTCATGTTGTAATCTACAGCAATGCATATGCATCATATGTTGGAGGTCTGCAAATATATCAACATGTTGCAGAGCTTGTGTGATTGCATCTCATGCCCTTCACATCAGAGGAACATTTTCCTATGTATTTTCTACCCAGTTGTTTTAACTGTCTTGCTAGTTCTACTCAGTTCCATTTTCTAATTTTCCAGTATAGATTACTTGAATCTTCTGCATCTGGATGAATCCTTACTGAATTCTAACTATAATATGATGAGTTTATCCATAGACCATTCCATGCCCTTTTTAGTCTGAAATTGATATTTGACTACACATATTACCTGTGGATCCAGGTAATCTTTGTCTGCAAAACTCAAGTTGAGCTGCTCACCTGGAAGCTGGAGTATCCTCTGTTATTTCAGAGAAATTATTTATCTGAATACAGAATGATTTCCAGAGTATAATCTTGAATGACTGAACATTTATTTCTGCAACTCAACAGTAATATTTCCAGTTCTGTTGGCTTTTAATATGAATTTCATTCATTTGACTTTCTTTTATTTACTCATTCATTCATTTCTTTATTCAAAAAGTTTTTAAATTCCCATTGTATCATAGAAAGAATATCTATATCCCTATGCATACTATAGTTATGCTGTTAATCTCCATGGTTTATATAAGTTTGAGTAGCACACAGATAACACAGATAACACACAATAAGCAATATTGCACTGGCTTTCAGAAAATTCATGCTCTTATTTTTTAGTTTCCTTTGTTATTTGTGTCGTTAAAAAAATGACTGCAACATTTACAAAGGAAATGAAGGTAGGCACACAACTGGATCTGACAAGTAGAATTTTCTAGCTAGCCTAACGAGGCATTCATCCCATTCCCCTCTCCTGAACCTTGCAATTCAGGATCACTAAAGTAGGCAAAATAGTAGTGTCCATTTTTTCTCATTAGCAAATTTATGAATTAGTATTTAATTAAAATATATGTATTGTATTTCTATTTCAGGCGAGGCACTATGTTAAATACTAGTAATAAAATGTGAATATGTAAGGATCATCATCCTTGTCTTCATGGAGTTTATTGTCTTTAAGAAATCAAGTGAACTGGCTTAAATCATATTTTTAATAGATCATATTAATTAGGTAAATTTCTCTGCCAACCTGAATGAGAGAATTAGTGCTAAGCCTTCTGAAACTCTTTGAAATCAGAATGAAAAACATTTTTCATCTCAGTGGAACATTTTCCTAAATATATTTTTTTCTATGTGAAACGAACATTTTCTCAGTAAATGTACTTCTAAACAGACTTGCTGAATGTTGCATTTCTAGATTGATGGTTCCAAAATATTTATTCATGGGCATCTTTCTGCAAAATCACAACACAAAGGAGACCAACAATTCAGTGTATTTAAGTATCTGATACAATTCTTTGGTGTCATATAACAAAAATGATTTTTTTTGCTGGAGAGGAAATCTTGCTTTCAAACGGTCTTTTGGAATAAGGTGGACGCTAAAATATATTGAGTAGCTTTAAAAGTCTGCAGGCATTTAACAGACTTTTATGATGTTTAGATTTGCCTCAAATTTATCCTTTTTAAAAAATATTTTAGATTTATTTCTTGAATTAAAATAACAACAAGAGTGCAGTTAACTGATTATAAGGAGTACTTTGAGATATCTTAACTCATGTTTTTGGAATGCCTAAAACACTCCTACCTGGTAAAATAGATGCTTGAGATGAAAAAGGAAGGCTATCTTTTTTCTTGCTGTGGTAGAGACAACTCTTTTTTACCCAATATTCATGACCTTATTATTATCTATTTAAACTACCCTGTCAATATTTGTTAAGCATATGACTACCCAAAATAAAGACTAGCTTTCCCATCCTTGTTGCCACAAAGCTTGTCCTTGTGACAAGCTCACACTAAAGGTTGTATTTTATGTTTACAAATTGAAAACTGTCTTGAAACTGAGGGGTATTCCCTTCCCCTTCCTCTTGCTTCTTCTGGCAGTTTATAAAGATGCACCACCATGTTTCATTAGCATGTGTGAGCGTTCTTACTAAACAAGATAAAAAAAAGAAGGAGCATTTGTCCCTGCTGGTAGAAAAATCCATACACACCTTGAATTACCCCTATTTATGGGAGACAGATAAAAACTTTGATCTTTTGGAATCCACTATTGTTTGGAGTTCACTGTCACCTTCATCCTGACTTAGTATCACTGACATACTCTCCATATTAGGAAATATGGCACATATTCAGCACTCGATACATATTGAAGCATTATTGTTCTTGAACTTTGGAAGAAATAAAGTAAAAGTAAATTACAGCATAGGGTGAATTCCACAGAACAAAACCTTAATATCAGGATTCCTCTGCAAGTGACTTATTAAGAAAGGGTTTCTGGAAAACAGAAAATAGAAACAAACAGACAAAAATCGTGTAAAAGAGTGAGAGAAGCAGGTTAAGAGAGGAAGAAACCAAGAATACATGGTTTTAAGCAAAGTCCTAGCCTCAGCTTAATGATGAAGCTGGAGAGACAGGTTCTCAAAGCAGTAAGAAGGATGTATTCTACTGTTAATATAGATAAACATAATCCAGAAATAATTTCACTAAACATAATGGTCATACTTTTTGGGTTTACTATGGCTTAATTAATAAACTTAAATTCATTCACAGAAAATAATACGAGGGCAATAGCAACACCTAAATTACATTTCAAACCATATTTTGCATTATTTGGCATTATGCCTAGATCTAATAGGCAACTGCTCTCATGAATCGGTCTCAGAATGACAAGATAAATTCAAGCATCTGAGTTATGACTCATTCTTAGTTCTGCCATTTTTAGTTAGTTTTACCATTTGTCATTTTAATAGTACCTATCAATATCACCTCCCCACAATTTTTTTCAGAAAAGTTGAAGGCAGTTATACAAATATAAAAATATATATTTTCTACAAAATACAAGCTCTTTTGTGAAATATTAGTTTAATGCAACAGTAATTGTGGTTTTTGCCATTGAAAGTAATGGCAAAAATGGCAATTACTTTTTCACCAACCTAATATATTTGGTTATAAATAAATGTATTACCTTAGCAAAACAAAATGTTTTTGAATTGTCAGAATTTTCTTTGTTTTTAAGGATGTATAATATTTAATTTTATGCACATTTTGCTTATCCATTCATTCAAATGTAGGACACTTGGTTTGCTTCTTCATTTTAGCTCTTGTGAGTAATGCTGATATAAATATGAGTGTACAAATATCTCTTCCAGACCAGACCCTGTTTTCAGGGTGGCTGGTTCATATGGTAACTCTATTATTATTTCTTTGTGAAACTCCTCCTGTTTTCTACAGTGACTGTACCATTTTACATTTCTACCAACAGTTTATAAGGGTTCTAATTTTCCATATCCTTGCCAAAACTTTTTTCTGTTTTTCTGATAGTGGCCATCATAATAGGTGTGAGGTGGTATTGTATTGTAGTTTTGATTTGTATTTCCTTAATGATTAGTGATGTTGAGCATTTTTTTCACGTGCTTGTCGGCCATTCATGTATCTTCTTGGGAGAAAAGTTTATTCAAGTTCCTCATTTATTTTTTTAATTTGGTTGTGTTTTTATTGTTGAATTTTAGGAATTCTCCATATATTCAGAACAATGAAATTCCTTATCAAACATAACATTTGCAAGTAATATCTCCCGTTGGGTGGGTTTTTTTTTTTAATTCTGTTAATACTGTCCTTTGATGCACATTTAAAAATAATTTTCATAAAATACAATTTGTATTTTTTTATGTCTTTGGTGTCATATATAAAATATCATCGCCAAGTCCAATTGTCATGAAGCTTTTGCCCTATGTTTTATTCTATGAGTTTTATAGTGTTAGGTCTTGTATTTAGGTCATGGATTCATTATGATTTAAGATTTGTATGTGGTAGGGCCGGGCGTGGTTGCTCACGCCTGTAATCCCAGCACTTTGGGCAGCCCAGGTTGGCGGATCACGAGGTCAAGGGGTAGAGATGATCCCCGCCAACATGGTGAAACCCCATCTCTACTAAAAATACAAAAATTAGCTGGGCATTGTGGTGCGTGCCTGTAGTCCCAGCTACTCCAGAGGCTGAAGCAGGAGAATTGCTTGAACCTGAGAGGCGGAGGTTGCAGTGAACTGAGATCGCGCCACTGCACTCCAGCCTGGGAACAGAGCAAGACTCCGCCTCAAAAAAAAAAAAAAAAAAAAAAAGAAAGAAAAGAAAACAACAACAACAAAAACCATTTGTATGTGGCATTTTAGAAAGGGTCCAATTTTAGACTTTTGCAAGCTGTATCCAGTTTTCTCAAGATCATTTGTCTTTTCCCTGTTGAATGATCTTGACACCCTTGTTTTAAATCATTTCAGAATATATGTGAAATTTATTGTAGATTGGGCAGAATTAACATTTTAACAGTTTTAAAGCTTTAATCCATTGATATAGGATATATTCCCATTTATTTATACCTTCTTTAATTCCTTCAGAAATGTTTTGCTGCTTTTAGTGTACAAGGCTTTTGTTTTTGTTTTCTTTTCTACCTCTTACAGTATTTGATTATTTTTTATTCTACTATAAATGAAATTATTTTCTTAATTTTATTTTCACATTGTTGATTGCTAATGTGCATAAATGCAACTGATTTTTGTGTGTTGACTTTATATCCTATAAATTTGCTGAATTTAGTTTTTAGTTCTAACTCTGCGTGTGTGTGTGTGTGTGTGTGCGTGTGTGTCATTCAGGGTTTTCTTCATCTAAGATTATATCATTTGGGTACAGAGATAATTTTTTCCATCATTCCAATTTGGAGGACTTTTGTTTGCTTTTCTAACGTAATTGTCCTGGCTAGGACTTCCACTACCATGTGAAATAGAACTTGCAAAAGAGAGCATTCTTGCCTTGTTGCTGATCTTAGAGGAAAAGATTTATTTTTTATCATTTGTATGATATTTGCTGTGACTTCTTATATGGCTATTATTATATTGTGGCAGTTTCTTTCTATTCCTAGTTTGTTAAGATTTTTCATCACTATAGGGTGTTAAGTTTTGTTAAATGCTTTTTCCATATCAATTGAGATGATCATGTAGTTTCTTTATTCTGTAAATGTTATATGTTACATGGATTAATGTTTATATGATGAACCATCCTTGCATTTCAGAAATAAAATCCTCTTGTCTATGGTATATAATTCTTTTAGTATACTACTAAACTTGGTTTAGTAGTATTTTGATGAGGATTTTTGCATCAATGTTCATAAAAGATAACGGTCTGTATTTTTCTTTTCATGCAAAAGTATTTTTATCTGGCTTTGGTATTAGGGTAATACTGGCCTCATAAAATGAATTAGGTGAATTAAAAAGTGTTACCTCCTCTTCAATGTTTTGAAAATTTGAGAAAGATTGATATTTGTTCTTTAAGTATTTGATAGAATTCACCAACAAAGCCATCAGGCCCTTTCTTTAGTCAGGAAATTCTGTTTGCTGATTCAAATTTCTTGCTATTTATAAGTTTATTCCAATTTTAAAAAATATTATTGTGATTTAGCCTTGGTATGTTTTGCCTTTCTAGAAATTGTTCCATTTCATCTAGCTTATCATTTGTTGGCATAGAGTTATTCATAGTACTTTCTTATAATTATTTTTAGTTCTATAGAATCGATAGTAATGTCTCCTCTTTCATTTTGGATTTTACTAATTTGAGTCTTCTCTCTTTTTCTCTTCGTCAATCTGGATAAATAATTGTTCATTTTATTTTTTTTAAGACACAACTTTTGATTTTGTTTATATTCTCAATTTATTTTTTATTCTCTCAGTTTGTTATTTTGGCTCTAATCTTTATTATTTCCTTCTTGTTAGCTTTGGATTCAGTTTGTTCTTTTTATAGATTTTTCAGTTGCATAGTTAGGTTGTTAATTTGAGATATTTATTGGTTTTTAGTGTAACTATTTATGGCTATAAATTTCCCATTTAGCATTACTCTCTCTGTGTTCCCTAAGTTTTGATATGTTGTATTTTCATTTTTATTTTTCTCAAATTATTTCCTAATTTTCATTTTAATTTATTATTTAATCCATTTTTAACAGTGTACTAATTTCCACAAGATTGTGAAATTTCCAATTTTTCTTCTGTTATAGATTTCTAACTTTATCCCATTTTTGTTAGAGAATAAATAAACTTTGGGTGATATATATATTTTTTAATTTACTACAACCTAATTTGTGGCCTACCATACAGTCTGAACTTGAAAATGTTCCATGGGAAGTTGAGAAGAATGTGCATTCTGATGTTGTTGGGTAGAGTGTTTAAGTATATGTTTGTTAGATCTAGTTGGTTTATCGTGCTGTTCAAGCCTTCCATTTCCCTTCTATTATCTTCTCTCTGGTTGGTCTATCTATTTAGAATGAGGTATTAATGTTTTAAACAATTATCATAGAACCATCTATTTCTCTCTTTACTTCCATCAATATATGCTTCATATACCTTGATAGTCTGTTATTAGGTACATATATGTTTATCACAATTATATCTTCTTTTTTTTTTTTTTTTTTTTTTTTTTTGAGACGGAGTCTCGCTCTGTCGCCCAGGCTGGAGTGCAGTGGCGGGATCTCGGCTCACTGCAAGCTCCGCCTCCCGGGTTCACATATCTTCTTACTGTATTGAACATTTTATTAATATGAATCTTTTTTGTCTCAATCTTTTTTATTTAAAGTAAAATAATTTGATGCTTTTTTAATTCATTGCTGTTGTCGTCATTAAAAGTTTAACTCACTTATATTTGAAGCAATTACTTGTGAGCAAATTACATCTGTCATTTTGCTATTTGTTTTCTATATATATTATAGCTTTTTTATTCCTCATTTCCTGCATTACTGTCTTCTTTTATATTTTGTTGATTTTTTGAAAAAAGTAAAACTTTTAAATTCCTTTCTCATTTCCTCTTGCATATATTCTGTGGCTCTCTTTTCATGGTTACCATGGGGATTATATTTAGCATCCTTATTTTACAACACTCTAATTAGAATTTATACCAGCTTAACTTGAATGACATACAAAAACTCTGCTTACTTAATAGCTATATCTCTACTTCTTTCAGCTATTGATATTACAAAAATTATGTCTTTATGTATTGTATGTCCAGAAACATAAATTAATAATTATTTTTAACACATTAGTCTCAAATTTTGCAGAAAACCAATTTTGAAATTACAAACCAGGAAACAGTAATACCAGTTTTCAGATAAGTTTTTTTATTTTGTTTTTGTTTGAACTTTTTTAGTTTCTTAAATTATGTTGAGGAAAAAAAGCGGAGTTACAATAGTATTAGCTTTTGTAATTGGTCTTGTACTTATCTTTGCCAAATCCTCATGTGTTTATACAGCTTCAAGTTACTGTCTAGTGTCATTTGACTTCAACATGCAGTATGCTTTTTGGTATTTCTTATTGGGCAGGTCTAGTAGTAACGTACTCCCCAGCTTTTGTTATCTGAGAATGCCTTAATTACTTCCACAATTTTTAGGAACAATTTGGCCAGATAATTCTTAGTTGGCACATTTTTTATTTTTATTTTTGTTTTTGGTACTTTGAATATATCAGCTCAGTGTCTTCTGGCCTCCAAGATTTCTGATGACACATCTTCTGATCAAATCTAAATCTAAATCTAAATATATTATGATAATCTGCTGATCCCTGGTATGTGATGAGTCACTTCTGTTTTATTGCTTTCAAAATTCTCCTTGTCTTTTACGTTCAACAGTTTAATTATAATGTGTCTTGATGTGTTCTCTTTGAGTTTACTGGGAGTTTGTTAGGCTTCTTGAATGTTAACATTCATGTCTTCCATTCAATTTGAGAAGAGTCTAGCCATTATTTCTTTAAATATTCTCCCCACTTCCTTCTTTTTTCTCTCTTTCTGGGACTCCATAATGTATATGTTCACTCACTTGATAGTATTCCCCAGGTTCCTTATATTCTGTACACACTCCTTCATTTTTTTAATCCTCTTTTTCACCATCCTAGCTTCAGGTTTGCTGACTCCTTCTTCCTGCTTAAACTGCTTTTGAATCCCTCTAGTAAATATTTTACTTGTTATAATTTTGAGTTACAGAATTTTTTTGGTTTATTTTTAGAATTACTATCTCTATTTATATTTCTATTTTGTTCATATATTTCTTGACTTTCTTCACATCTTCTTTTAGTGTTTTGAGTATTTTTAAGATAGTTGTTTTAAGGCCTGTGTAGATCAGTCATCAGATATTTTTCAAGAACAGTTTCTGTTTTGTTGTTGTTGTTGTTGTTTCTTCTTTTAAATGGAACATACTTTTCCATTCCTTTGTATGCCTTGTGGTGGTGGTGTTGTTGTTGAAACCTGTACATTTAAATTTAATGATATAGTGACTAGAAATTAATTCTATTTCCTCCCCAGATTGTGCCATTTTTTTGTTTACGCTTTCTTGATTATCATAGGCTATCTCTGCTGAGATTCAGCCAGTGGTGTAAATTCAAGGTCTTCTCAAGTATTTCTCTGAGACTGCACCTTCCACTGGGCAGGCATGGTGAGCTTGTCATTTTCCGTCATGTATATGATTGTTTTTGAAAGTCCTGCATGTCTATATCTGGCTCCCAAAGTGGGAGAAAGGGAAAAATGAATGGAGGAAGAAAGCACCAACCCATTACATCACCTGGAAATTACTTCACTCAGAGTAAGAGAGGCGTGCAATAATTGTGGGTGGGTATAAAAATAATGGTTTCTGCTTTTTTGTCTCTACCTCTGTGACCAGAAGCAGCAAGAATCATTGATCAGAGAACAGGTCCCAAAAATTTGTAGAAGAGGTTTCTTTTTTGGCTTCTGTAAGCTAGATGCAAGCTACTCTAGGTGTGAGAAACATACGAACAACTAACTGCCTGACATGTGGCTGAGAGGAGGGGGATAGTTGGCTACCACTGTGCTAAGAACTAAAATTAACCACAATTTACCATCCAAGGCTCCCCCTGGAAGTGGACAACCTTTAGTATATTCCAGAGTTCTAAAATAACAATATCAGACAAATTCTGCATGTGCAATTGTTTTCAAGGTAGGGAGACAGGTTTCTGATGCTTCCTACCTCATCACCTTCTCAGAAGTCTCTCTGGTCTAACTATATCACTACTCATCCAGGAAAAGTGCTGTACTCCTCTGAGACTCAGTTTCATTGATTGTAAGAAATGATATAACCTCTGTATCAACTATTTTTGAAGGTTATATGAGATTGGGAATATAATGACCTATAATAAATATCCAGTAAATGGTAGGATCATTTAAAAGTGCATAATAGATTACAGTGTTTGAACATTTGCCTACTCTTGCTATTAATTGATGGCATGGGATTTAATGTTTTATTCAAACAAGGCAAAAAGCCAATAATCCTCAAAACATGGCTTTTTTTTGAGTTCTGAAATTGGAATATTGCCAGTTACTAACATTTCAAACTTTTTACTTCTTGATAAATGAAATTTAGAATTACAATGAGAAATGAACTAGTTAGTTGACAGCAAGATTAAGTCAACAAGATCACAGTAGAATTGTCTTATTTCACAACACCTTACTTTACCTTTATTTCCTGGATCAGATTTTGGTTCAATTTAAGATTATACTATAAAATATCAAGATTTAACATATCTAATCTTTCAGTCATTTCATATCCTGTTGATCTCTATTATTCCTTTGTCAACATAGTTGAATTATCAAATGAAAAGTAAAATTGTGAAAATCAAGAATAGAATAGTGTTGGAATAATAGCTCCAAGGTTTTGTTGAACATGTTTTATTGAACCATGTTCTGGGAGAGAGACAAAAAGGAAATTCATAAGAAACCCAAAGTGTCTATACTGCCTTTGAAGTATTTTGTTGAAAAAAATGTTTAACACCTATATTACAAGAGGATCTATGATTATGAAAACATTTGATCACAAACATTGTGATTTAGGAATATATTTTTCTATGTGGCACATATTCAACTTCGCTTTACAAGTTCTTTTACTTATTTTTTCTTTAGTGTTTTTTTATTTGTTCTTCAAATAATATTATAATAACTATTTTTATTCCATATGTTTTCTTTGATGCTGTATTTTTGCATAAAATTCTGCATATATTTATTGTAAGGTACCTTTGAAAAAGATCCTCATATCCAGATTGGACAGCTATTTAATGAGTATAAAAGGCTGAATAAATCTGTATGTACGATTAAAATATGCTTGCATGATTTGTCTTTTTATCATATGATTCCTTGTTATTTCAAATGTCCTCAACCTTATAATCAATACAAAGTTTATTTGAAATAACATCAGATAGAAAATGTACACAGAACTAATATTTTTCATAAAAAAGATGCTCATTTTTTTCAAAGCACATTCTAATTCATCTTATATTTATGTATTTATAAAGCTAAATTCACTGAACTACATGTAAATACTTTTAAATTATCACATTTAAAACTTTATTTGATAATGTAAATATCTAGCTGCTGTTTTAGTGAACAATTCACAATACCTTTTTGCTAATATTTTTTCATAAATAACTTACTTCATAAACAAACTTAATGTTTTCTTTCTCAGTGAAATTTGTTTCCTGCATTTTACATGCTATATTATTTCAAGAAATGTTTTCTATTTCAAATATATTATTTTCTCCCAAAATGAGCTATTTTCTACCTGAATGAGGATTTTTAGTTAACAGAAGTGACTTGCTGACAAGTCATTCCTTATTTTTCTTGTAACTGGACATATAACTGTTATTGCCCAATGACCTGATCGTTATATACCTCTGACCACATAAACAATTCTGAATAACAGAAAATATGTTTTATTAGCATGAAAATGGTTACTTTGAGTATACCAATGGTTGGTTTAATAATAATCTAATCCTGAGAGTCTCATTTATGAGTGTTACATATCACTGATACAATAGCATTAGTTCAGGGACATTTGCCTCTAGTTGACTTCGCAATTTTGAAAAGTTTTAATTTTTAAATTTAAAAAATTAGAGAAAATGTATCTGTTACCAGAAGGCTTGAAATCTCAAAGTGTAACATTTGTATACACTCTAAACTATTTAAACTTTTCATGATTGTTGAGTTTAGAGCTGCAGAAAGAATATAGATATTTTAAAGCTGTACATCCCTCCATTTGTATTTACTCACCATCTTCTATGTTTCAAACTCTGTACCTAGCACTACAGTGGAAAAAATGAAAGAGGAGACTTTCTTCACAGAGCCTGTAGGAAAATAGGCAAAAAGCAATTAAAATATAATGAAAATAAAGGGCTTTTACTGAAGAAGGACAATATACTAAGCCCAGTAAATGTCATTTTTTTTTATCTGGCTTTAATAGAGTAGAATTTTTCAGATAAAAATTGAACTGATATTTGGGATATTTACTAGACCAGGGATTCCCCAACCCCCAGGCTATAGACTGGTACTGGTCTGTTAAAAACTGGGCTGCACAGCAGGAGGTGAGTGAGAGGGCAAAGCTTCATCTGTATTTACAGCTGCTCTCCATCCCTCATGTTACCACATGAGCTCCACATCCCATCAGATCAGTGGGGGCAGTAGATTCTCATAGGAGCATAAACCCTCTTGTAAACTGGGCATGCAAGAGACCTAGGTTGCTCAGGGCTCCTACTGATTATTATAGTGAGTTGTATAATTATTCCATTATATATTACAATGTAATTATAATAGAAAAAAAGTGCACAATCAATGTAATGTTCTTGAAACATCCCCAAACCATCCCCCCTCTCCTCCAACCCATCCATGGAAAAATTGTCTTCCACGAAATTGGTCCCTGGTGCCAAAAAGTTGGAAGGCCATTGTACCAGACCACACACATCTATTTCCTCTGCATCCATCATATGGGGCTCTCCATACTCTAAAGATAATTTCTAGCTGTCATCTTTTAATCAGCCATGGGAAAAGAAGAGCACTATTAACTCTAGTTAGTTTTTCTCAAATGGAGCACAGAACTGCCACTAATTTATACAAATAAATGGCTGAGTTGAGTGCATCTTTTTGATAGTTTCCCCAAAGTTTTATTGGTCCAAAGTAGCTAGCTCACTCCCTAGGCACAGCACTTAAATGTCCTCTCTCAGCAGGTGTCACTGGGTCAAATAACACCTGCCTCATGCAAGAGGATTGTCATAGCTAAGTACGTGGAGTTAAAAGTGATAGCTAGGAAATCTCTGTTTAATTCATATCTTAACTGGAAGAAGAATTGATCAGCTGTCTATAACCATTAATAGGTGATCATGAGTTGGTCTACATATTAATATAATAACCATGTTAATAAATGAATGTTGTATGCATACTGAATACACTGTTAGAGATCCACAGCAATACTTTGAAAAGATGCAGAAAAAGTGTAGAAAAAGATTGTGAGACCAGAGAATGGAAAGGGGCAACAGGACACCTGAAATATGAATGCTAAAAAGAGGGTAATAAGGAATCAAAAGTTGAGGTGGGGATAAATGCTAACAATAAACTTCAATTCTTGCTGAAACTAGCATATGCTTACGGTGAAGATAAAACTTGGAAGGGTGAAAATAAAAGAAACAAATCGGTCAGAAATTATAGTTTTATATTTTCTAAATCACATTGATTATTTGATTTGAAGTATATAAAAATGGCTTTAATATGTCATTTGTAGTGAATGAAAAAGAATGTCTCCTACTAGGAATCTTGAGGGGTACTGTGACATTCTAGAGTAACCCAATTGATAAGCTTGGCTTAAGGTCTGTGAGGCATACATCTGAATTTCGAATGGAATGGCAAAAGCAATTACCTTACCTTACAAAAGAAAAGCAACAAAAGCAAAAATACATTCATTCAAAATCCAAATGCTTTTTTATCATTGAGATGTTTGTGCTGAGATTTAAAATATGAATTTTCCGCATATATTTATTCCCAGCAATATTAAATACAAATAAATATATATTTATAATATACATATATATTGCACAGAATGTCTACCACAGCTTATGAATTTTCTCTAAAAATTGATCTGAAAACAATTGTGTATATTATTTATACTTAGCACATTTTTATGAATATTACAATTTTTGGTGTTTCTTTTCCACAACAATGAGAGCTAATCACGATTTATCTCAGATACTAGGCTGAAACATGAATATATGGGAAGTATAAAAGTCAAGCTGACCATTCTATCCTCTATGCCTTACTTTAGCATAAAGGCAGGTCACTTGAATTTTATCAGATTGGCTGACCACAAAAGTGGCTTCAGAGAATACAATGTGCCTTGCTTTAAGCTTTTGTAAATGATTGTTATAAAAGTGGATATTAAAATCTACATTTAAATACGTCCTCAAAGACTCTGCCAGTTACATTTGCCATTGTCTCATCTTCTTGACTCAGTTTCAAGAACTGTAAAACTGATAAGATTTACATGGAATACATCATAGAAAGACTTTAGAATAAGGAATATGTTAAGAACTCAATATACTTTAGATATCACTAATTATTTTAGGTAAAATAATTTAATTATTAAATTAAAATTAAATAATTTAATTGTAAGTAAAATAATTATTTTAGGTAAAATAATATTTTAGGTATTGACATCTAATATACTTTAGATATCAATAATTATTTTTATCTTTAATTATTTTAAATATGTAGTTTTTACCGTATAATAATCCTTTGTGTTCTATGAATAATGTGAATTAATTTTATTTCTTTTAAAAATTGATGCATGTTTAATTTTTTAGTAATGTCCCATATTGGGCGTAAATTATCACATTTGGGGTGGCGACTACAATGTTTTCCATGATTTTCAGCTTTCTCACTTCTGTGCATGTAGGTGTGTTTCTTTGCTATGAATTTATCTTCCCTGAATTACATCTTCCCCAGGAGGTGAATTCAGCATATACCATGGGTAGTGGTGGTTTATATTCTGCTTGTGTATAGTGTTTGTGTTTGTTATTTTGTCCTGATCTTCAAGTATTCTCCGGCCTTGAATCAGTTTTTCCATTGGATCAGGAATACAACTCATGCCTGTAATGAGCAACACAATTTATATTTTTCTGCAAAGAAGTCTAATGTTTAAAGAATTAGTAGAATCCCCACTTGTGCATATCCTCTCTCTGGTCTGCAATGAATACAGAGTAAATCATCTTTGGTACTCTAGGGTGGTGGCCCCAGCCCCTGTCTAACAATGTCTTTGAAACCACAATTCCTAATGTCCACATTTGAGGTCTACACCACATTTATTTTACAACTTTTTTTCTCCAATGTTGTTATTATAAGTTTCATCTCAATTTTGTTCTGGAGATTTCCCTTTTCAAGTGGGAATTTAGTTTAAAGTGCTTTAACATGTATCCCACCTACATTAATGTGTTTGAGGCAGTAAAAAGTGGGTAGATCCCAATATGTGCTCAGTCTTCTCTCTCTTTCTTTTTCTTTAATTAACGGATTTTTACTGTATATATTTAAGAGCTACAACATGACGTTTTGATATATGTATATATATGGAAGTAATTGCTACAGGTAAGCAAACTCATATATCCAACACTTCCTATAGTTATCTCCTTGATTTTTCCCATTTTTTTTTTTTTTGGCGGTAACAGTACCTAAAATCTACTCTCTTAGCAAATATTCAAAATACAGGAAATTACCATAAATTATAGTCTTCCTGACTGAATTACATCTCTAGACTTATTCATCCTATATAACTGCAAGTTTTTTTACTCTTTGACCTACATCTTGCAGCAATCTCTCTGCTGAGAGATGAAATCAGCAACTCAGAGAGATGTCTGATAGCCAAGACATGAAAAAAACCTAAGTGTCTGTCAACAGATGAATGAATAAAGAAATATATATATCATGGAATAACATTGTGGAATATTACTCAACCTTATTAAAGGAGATACTGCCATTTGTGGCAACATGGATGAATCTGGAAGACATAGTGCTTAGTAAAATTCACCAGAAGAAGAAAGAAAAATATCACACAATCCTCCTTGTATATAGAAACTTAAAAAGGCTCTCAAATACATAGAAGCAAAGAGTGGAATAGTGATTTTCAGGAATGCAGAGGAAGAGAAAATGGGAAAATAAGTCTACTCTCTTGACCCAAAAGTTGATAGCTAAGATGCTTTATTTTGTGTTTAAGGACCAGGCACATCAAGAACTGATGTGGCCTATGGCTAGCAAAATAAAAGCTCCATTAGGATGGAAATTCTAGAAACTGTAAAATTTATCCCAATGTTATTGACTGTTGAAAAAGTGTTAGTTTAATAGCAAGAAATAGACAGAACTATACTTTAAAAGAACAAGGCAATCGAATTATGCCTCTTTAGTGCTCCATGGCTAGTCACTTTAGTATTGCCACATCTTGATGATGATGATAATGATATCGGTAACAAAAAATCGAACACAGTGCTGATTACGTGCCACATACTCTTCTGATTGCTTCACATTTATTATCTCCTTTAATTCTCACAACCATTATTTGAGGACTTACTTTCATTATCCTCATCCAGCAGATGAATAAATTTAGTGCAGAGAGTTTAGTAATTTGCCTGAGGTCACACAGTCATATGTTGAGTATCTAGGATTGAAATTAGGCAGCGTGGATTAAAAATTTATGATGCTATCCTTTATGCTATAATTTATGTTAGCATTGAGTGATATTAAAATAATATTCATTCTTTGCATACATTGAGAGGAGTAAACCAGACTCCTATTCCAAGACCCAGATAATGCATACTTCAGCATCAAGCTTCATTATCACATGCCTGTTGAAAGTCATAAGACTGAAGTTAGTACTACCTTTAAATTAAGATGAGGTATAGCAGGGGTCCCCAGCCCCTGGCCTGTGGCCTGTTAGGAACTGGCCCAGACAGCAGGCGGTGAGCAGTGAGCAAGTGAATGAAGCTTCATCTTTATTTACAGACACTCTCCATCACTGGCATTAATGCCTGGGCTCCACTTCCTGTCATATCAGTGGCAGCATTAGATTCTATAGCATTGTAAACCCTATTATGAACTGCACATGCGAGGGATCTAGGTAGCACCCTCCTTATGAGAATCTAATGCCTAATGATCTGTCACTGCCTCCCATCACTCCCAGATGGGACAGTCTAGTTGCAGGAAAACAAGCTCAGGGCTCCCCTTATTCTACATTATGGTGAGTTATATAATCATTTTATTATATATTACAATGTAATAATAATAGAAATAAAGTTCACAATCAATGTAATGTGCTTGATCATCCTGAAACCACCCCCAACCCTGGGTCTGTGGAAAAATTGTCTTTCTCAAAACCGATCCCTGGTACCAAAAAGGTTGGGAACCACTGCTGTATAATATACATACACAGAATATTTATATAACCATTAATGAACTTATAATTTAATTTTCATAGATATTTCTGAGTACCAATAGAATGGAAATAGTATTACTCACTTGAAAAATATGTTTTATTGAGCAAAAAAATTATAATAGAAACATTAGGAGGAAAAGATGCTGTTTATCTGAGCTGCTTGGGGCAATTTTTAGCCTTTTGTAAAAATAAGTGACATTAAACCCACCCAGTTGTCAGATTGCCATCCCATGGTGAATATTCTGACTGTGAGAGTTTTCAAAGAATCAGGCAAACCACAGTAGCATTCAGATGTAGGCGTTACTGTCCACCAGAGTAGGTTAGCATCCTTTATGTTTGCCTGACATAAATCTTTGTGCAATAACAAATGAACCTCTATTCCTGCTGTTTTTAAAATGCAAGCTTTGTTCATTTTTGCTATTTCTAAAGCAGATGTATCACATGAGGGGGTGGGGAAAGAAGGTTAGAATTCAGAAAACATTCTTAGAGTGAATATTGTTCACCCAGAGACAGACACCACAACTATATTGCATCAGTAACTCCAGTAACCTTGACTTTTTAATCAGATTCCCAACTCAGAATATGGGACAAATTTTGATCATCTAGTTTAAAATATCTCTCTAATTAAATATCATAAAGTAGAATTAGTATTTTTTGTATACTTTCAGTAGTGTTTTCATTTTTTCCTTATGATGACAGTTCATAGTTTTGGCTACTTTTCCTAAGTATTTTATTCTTTTTTAAATTGTGAAATACATGTTTTCTTGTATTATTTATTTTACTATATATACATATCTATTAAGTATATCCACGTATGATTATAATTATGTAGATTAATAGATAAACGCACAGGCACACATAGTAAGGGAGCAGTGTTCTATACATCATTTGCATACTCTACTACTTTATTCTCTCCTCTCATTGTTTATTTTTCTTTTCACTTGATTTTGAAAATGATTCCATCATACACTGGCAAATACCAACAGTTTTACCCATTTTTCCAATTGCTACTTTAAAAATTTTCTTCCTTGTCTAATATAGCTAATATTTTCTGTAAGATGATAAATAGTAAGCATGATAGCCAGCCCTTGTTACCGTTTTGGTCTTGGCTTTAGTGGATGTGTTTTAGGTGTTTCGTCATTTCCCTGTTGTAAAGGGTGATGGCTTTTGGGCTGATTTGTGTTATCTCATTAAGAATCTGTTGATGTTTTAAATGTTTTTATCCAGCATGAGTTTAATTTTTTGAAATACCTTTTCACTGTTTGTGAAAGTGGTCCCATGATGTATCTCATGAAGTTTATTACTACAATTGTCAAACATTTTCTATTATAGAATCTTTTTTGCATTTCTGGGGCAAACTAACTTGATCATGTTATAACAGTTCAGTAAATTCTCTTTCCTAACATTTTAAGATTGTTTAAGTTAATATCAGTTACTGAGGTGAGTTTACAGTTACTTCTTTTACAAAACAAAACAATCTGTTAGGTTTTGGTTACAATATTATTCATTACTTACAACTAATATTACAATTTTCCTTCTTTCTCTGTTTTGAAAGTGTTATATAGCATAAGAATTCTCTAATTTTTTTTTTTTTTCTTGAGACGGAGTCTCGCTCTGTCGCCCAGGCTGGAGTGCAGTGGCGCGATCTCGGCTCACTGCAAGCTCCACCTCCCGGGTTCACGCCATTCTCCTGCCTCAGCCTCCCGAGTAGCTGGGACTACAGGCAACCGCCACCACGCCCGGCTAATTTTTTGTATTTTTAGTAGAGACGGGGTTTCACCGCGTTAGCCAGGATGGTCTCGTTCTCCTGACCTAGTGATCCGCCCGCCTCGGCCTCCCGAAGTGCTGGGATTACAGGCGTGAGCCACTGCGCCCAGCCAAGAATTCTCTAATCTTTACATGCTTAGTGGAACTCTCCCAGGAAAGCATCTACTCTCAGGACTTGGAAAGGTTAGTTCTTTAAAAAAAAGTTGCTGTATTTTTATTGTAAGTAAACCTATTATAAGTTGGTTTTGATAACATATTTTTCTAGATTACTTATCTCATCCAATTTTTTAAACGTACCTGCATAAAGTTAAATAAAGTAATGCTATGAGTTTGTTTTAATTACTAAAGTTTGGGCAGTTATTTTTATCTTTTAAAATATTTTTATTAGTAGTCATGGAGTTATCCGTTTATCTACTTCACTTCTTTCAAACAATTAGCTTTTTAATTTTTATAGTAATTTGTTTTAATTTTTAAAATAACATACATTGCTAAAATAAATGTTTATTTTTCTTATAATTAATTTTAACTTACATCTAATTATTGACGTGATAGTTATTTTGCTCTTTGATCCACAGTGATTTTATATTACGTTTTCTCTCTGTAAGCAGACACTTAAAAATATAAAGCTATATATATGCTCATGTATATACTGATTTGTATTTCATTTTATACGTGTACATGTATGTATACACAGTTATGTATGTATATGTGTATATGTGTGTGTATGTGTATTTATAGGAATAGATTAACTCAGTGGACTTTTGTGGTGCTCAAATTCTGGACATGCCAAAGAAAGGACTCACTTTTGACAGGTTTCTGAGAGGTAGCCTATAAACTGTAAACTGTTGGAATATTCTGCCTGTTATGAGTGTCTTTGAAGAGTATTGTTAAATACCTGAGGCCTTGGGCCGTGCAAGCTAGTTTATTGTAGCAATGTGATTTATGGCAAATGCATGTTTTTGTTCACCTGGGGTCCCGGGCCATGCTGCATCAGTTAGACCTCTTGGTTGGGGAAAATGAAGAACTAGACACTGAGTAGTTAAGGTCAGTCATGTGGGTCCTCCATGCCTCCTGACTGACCTCAAACAAAAATACAGGACACCAAGGCTCCGGTGAGCAACTCAGGTGGCAATACTACATTACTGCTGGGAGAATTAAGTGCTGCCTCTGTGTCTCCATGGGGATGGGAGAAATGGAAACACATGCCTCGTTTCTCCCCATATCCTATATGCCTTTCATTTTCCCTGATATTAATCTATTTCCTCTCACTGTAATGAATTATAAACAGTAGCATAACTGCTTTTCTAGCTGCTGTCATTCATTCTAATAAATTGTTAACCTGCATTTAATTTGGGGAACCTCTGATACAACCTATGATGTTGTTCAGTATATATTTATCTCCTTCATTTTCCTATTAGCTTTTTTCTCTTTCTTCTCCCTCTATTGTCTCTTTTCCATCACTCTATTTTAATCAGAAGGATTATTGTTCTTTGTGCTTTTCTTCATACTTTTAAATGTACATATAACATTTGACTTCACTAGTCATATTTTCATGATTCCTTATGGCTCCCATTACAAAAGAAACAGTAAGCAAGCTGATTTTATGGTCTATCTTCCATTTCTCTTATGTTCTACTGTTTTCCAGCATGACTTAGACATTGGCTGAGAAGCAATACACACAGACACACACACACAGACACACACACACACAAGCATGCTATTCTGTTACACTTGCACCAACTGGGATTTCATCTTAGCTGTGCAATTAAGTGTACCAAAGTTTACTTCTGATATTTTGCTGAAGCTTCACAGGTTACCTTTATGTGGAGACAGTTAAAATTTCAAATGATTTCCTTAAGAATAAGTTAGGGAAAAAATGTTCCTTGGTATAGTTTTTCAGAACTGTCGAATTTATATTTGTAAAATAGCTTGTTGTGATAAAAAAAATTCTCACCTTCCACATTTTTCCATGGAATATTATGAAGTTATTGCAGAGTTTTCTTTTGATATCATTGTATTTGTATAAAATTTGATAGCCTGATTTTTTCCACTTAAAAATAATTAGGTTACTTTGCTTGACTAACTGAAGATGGCTTATTTACTTTTAACATCCATAAACAAATTAAATAAGATATTCTTAATGTGGACAATTATCTTTCATTCATAATAGTTCCACTGAATGTGTATGTGTAGGTACATAATTGGAATTTCCAAAGAAGAAGACCAAGAAATAAAACAGAACAAAATTTGAAATAAAATTTACGGACATTTTCCTGTTGTTATTAGGCAAGTAAAACTATTCTAAATCTATACTTTTTGCTTAGATTTCTTTTAAATATATTATACTTTAAGTTCTAGGGTACATGTGCACAACGTGCAGGTTTGTTACATATGTATGCATGTGCCATGTTGGTGTGCTGCACCCTTTAACTCGTCATTTACATTAGGTATATCTCCTAATGCTATCCCTCCCTCCTCCCCCCACCCCACAACAGGCCCCGGTGTGTGATGTTCCCCCTTCAAGTGTCCGAGTGTTCTCATTGTTCAATTCCCACCTATGAGTGAGAACATGTGGTGTTTGGTTTTTTGTCCTTGCGATAGTTTGCTGAGAATGATGGTTTCCAGCTTCATCCATGTCCCTACAAAGGACATGAACTCATCCTTTTTTATGGCTGCATAGTATTCCATGGTGTATGTGTGCCACATTTTCTTAATCCAGTCTATCGTTGTTGGACATTTGGGTTGGTTCCAAGTCTTTGCTATTGTGAATAGTGCCGCAATAAACATACGTGTGCATGTGTCTTTATAGCAGCATGATTTATAATCCTTTGGGTACATACCCAGTAATGGGATTGCTGAGTCAAATGGTATTTCTAGTTCTAGATCCCTGAGGAATTGCCACACTGTCTTCCACAATGGTTGAACTAGTTTACAGTCCCACCAACAGTGTAAAAGTGTTCCTATTTCTCCACATCCTCTCCAGCACCTGTTGTTTCCTGACTTTTTAATGATCAAAAAGATATAATCTGAAAACTTGGCATTTTGTGCTATTTTTACCTTTTCTTTTATATTTTCTTTTCCTTCCCTTTTCATCTTCATTGTATTGCCTCTTCTTCCTCCTCAACATCCTTATCTTCCTCTCCTTGTTTTGCTTCTTATTCTATGTCTATACTGCCAGTCCATTCATTTAGAGATTACATTTTAAATAGATGAAATATAAACCTCTTTATAACAATTGGCAATAGTAATTAATAAAGATGATCAATAAAACATGTTATTGAGATTTATTAGGAAGTGGGAAACATGAAAATTTGCAAAATCTGATTGACGTTTTACTTATTGATATAAAAAATAATTTACATATATTTATGTGTTAAGATAGATTACTCAACTAGTGTTTCTCAAATCTTCCTTAATAATAAAAAATATTTAACTAATGATGTACAATTCATTATAAAGCCACACAGTTTTATGTGATCGCAAGCATGTCTAGCTGCTCACCTATTCGTGTCTCAATATCAACAAAAGAAATTGTCATGTGGTAATACTAAATTTTGCTGTGTCTCTGATAAACCTGGTTGTAAGGTATTTGCATTTTAATTCTATAAGATGTATTGTGGAAAGTGTATTTTGACACAATGAAAATAAAAATGTGAAAAAATAAATTTCAGTTGAAATAAAGAGAAATATTCAATTTAATATGTAAAACATGCCCCCGTGACAAGTAATAAGTAAATGGTATCATCCATGCTCTAGAATAGAACTCTTACGGTATTCCAAATAATTAACAGCAATGATATAATATGCCCATTGCACCGAATAGGCATTCAGTGAGCTTATGCATGATCTCTATAATGTCAATAGCTGCGACATACACACTTGTGACAGTGTAGTAACATTAAAAGTACTGATAAATGTTTCATGTGTTAGTATTATTTCTGTGGCTTGTGATAGAAAAGTAATTTCAAGTGACTTAAGTAAAATTGAAAGCCTAGTGGTTTATGAATCTGAGACTTCCAGAGGTGTCTCTGATATCAAGCATGCATGCAGGATTCCGGATGTCAGAAGTGTCCTCAAGAAACTATGTTTTGTACCCTTTAGCTCTGTTTCCATGTGTGTTGGCTTCAGTATCAGGTAAACAAAGTCCATACTGTAGAAAAGATTACACCAGTGGCTCCAAGAAAAGACACATACCTAGATGCCAGTACTTCTATAAAATAAACTAAAGATGCTGCAAGAATAACAGGTGACATATTCTTACTGCCAAAATACTATGTCCAAAACAGTATTTCATGAGGAAATGTTCATGGAACACTACTGTTTATCCAGTACAACATTCTAGGTATTCAACAGATTGCACCTTCAAAGCATAGCCAATAATTGGTTATATTAACTTATTGTTTAAAAGAAGACATTTATTATTCTGCAATGATAATGCTTATTAATATGCTAGTACATCATTCTCAAAATATCAAAGAATTAAATCAACAGGAAACAAATAAAGAAAATACAAATGTGTGTTTTATTAAGTCTAGACTGGAGAATTGAACCCAGCAAGAAAATATCATAAATAATATGAAATCATGTATTTAATTAGATTTTATATGTTTTTAATTTTGTTTAATGTAATTTTATAAATTGATTTTGCATTGAAAATTATATAAAGAAGGAATTTACAAACAGGTTGTTACAGCATATAATTAAAATTATTTTAAAATTCATGTCAACATAAGTACATGAGAATTTTATTTTCCATGAAAAGATATCCCAATATTATTAAAGTTGGAATACATTATACAGTAAATGGCACAAATGTTCACATATTCATCTTACCCCTCAATATACATTCTTTGAAATATGACTGTGACTTTAGTGTGTTTCCTATCAAGAAATAATGCCTATTTCTTCACTACTTTGAATTTGAGCTTACCTTGTTACTTTTTTAGACCAACAGAGTGCCACAGAAGTGATGTAGCAAGACTTTTGAAACCAATTTTAAAGACATTTTTATCTTGGCTCTCACCTACTTGTTGCTCTGAAAGAGCTATGAAAAGCCCTGTGCAGTCTCTGTAAGGATAAGAGACCTCATGGATAGAATGGCTCAGTGAAGTGTCAGCATCAAACACTACACATGTGAATGAGCCAATGTTAGATAATATACCACATTATCATGGCAGATTCATCAATGAACCTAGCCGAGACAACCAGAAGAACTTCCCAGCTGAGCACAGCACAGCCAAAATATCTGACCCACAAATTTGTGAGAAAATTAAATACTTGTTTTAAATTTTGGGATACCCAACAATAGATAATTCAGGCACTCTGTTTTATGATTATGTGAAATTATATCAAAATTGCCATTTTAAAATCATTATTTTGCAATAAACATATAAATAAATAACGAGGCCAGGCGCTATGGCTCACGTCTGTAATCCCAGCACTTTGAGAGGCCGAGGCGGGCAGATCACGAGATCAGGAGATCAAGACCATCCTGGCAAACATGGTGAAACCCCGTCTCTACTAAAATACAGTAAACAAATTAGCTGGGCGTGGTGGCATGCACCTGTTGTCCCAGCTACTTGGGAGGCTGAGGCAGGAGTATCCCTTGAACCTGGGAGGCAGATGTTGCAGTGAGCCGAGATTGCACCACTGCACTCCAGCCTAGGGACAGAGCAAGACTCCGTCTCAAAAATAAATAAATAAATAAATAAGGTGTAAAGGAGTTGAAATACAAAGTTCCCTTGTTAAGGTTTAGAGTTAGACTGAAAGTGCTATAAAGCTATTTGTAAATTTATTTTTACCAGTTTAATTTACTATCATAAAGTTTTAAAATAAAGATATTTTCCCTTCATTCATCATTCTTTTATTCATACATTATCAGTTGTATTTTCAACGATAAAGTAGAATACAAGTCTATTAAAATATGACTGACAGCACTTTAAATAAAACATTAGGTTAAAAAGAATGACAGTTTTAAATGTAGAAAATGAGTGTGCAAATTAATTACACAGCCTAATGAACCTGATTACCATGCATTTCGCTTTCAGTAGGTATGCAAAAGGAAAGATTATTGATGGGGTGGGGAAGGTGTGAGCAAATGTCTAAGATTGATTTGGTTCTAAGAATTAATTTTTTATTTAAAATATTGTCTAGCTAATGAAAGTGATTGTTTCTAAATTCTCACCAAGTCAAATCACTTAAAAAATAGTGTGGTCTAAGCCCTAAACATAGGTATTGAGTGTGTACCTACAAATGACTATTTGTATATTGCAATTTAATGTATCTCTGTAATAGTTCCATGCACGTATGAAAAAAATACTTATTTTTTTAAGATAAACACATATTTACATATTTCAAAAATATTTTTCAAAACAGTGGTTATCTTTTTAAACCATAATTATTCTAATATTATGAGCATATGTTTAAAAAGTAAATACAATAGAATAAAAGTGAATAGAATGCATTGTACTCATTTTCTATGCATATTTTCATCAAACTTTCTCCACATTTACTGCATATGCCTATGAGGGTGTGTTTGTACATATGTAGTGCAATGAATTTCAAAGTGCTCGGATTAGAGAAAAATAATCATAAATTTACATTTGAATTTCAATCTATTAAAATACATAAGATATGGCCAAAGCAAAAATGAGACAAAATAAATGGAAAAAATATTTTATCATAAAATATAAAAATTTTATGAGGTAAGTATTTAATTCAAGAAGCTGAAAAATAGAAAATAGCAACTCAAGAAAAGTATGTGAAATGGTTAATGAAGCTAAAAACACAACTTTTATTTTGCTTTTTTAATTATTATTATTATTATTATTTTGAGACAGAATCTTGCTCTGTTGCCCAGGCTGGAGTGCAGTGGTTCTTTCATAGCTCACTGCCACCTCGGTCTCCTTAGCTCAAGCATCCCCCGACAAGTAGCTGAGACTTCAAGTAAACACCACCAAAGCTGGCTAATTTTTATATTTTTAAAAATTTTTAGCAGAGATAAGGTCTTGCTATATCATCCAGGCTGGTTTCAAACTTCTGAACTGAGGCGACCCTGCCACTTTGGCCTCCCAAAGTGCCAGGATTACAGGCATGAGCCACTGCGCCAGCCCAGAACTTTTAAATCACATACACATACACAAATGGCAAGAGCTATTATATCATGAAAAATGAAAATAAATCTTCCAAAATCAGCCTAACAGTGAGTATCTCAAACACTCACTAGGCCTCCAAATGTTACTTCTGATAATTTAAAATGGAGATAATGAAAATCATGATTCCTTACATTTGTACAAAGTTTGCTTATGGACCCAATATCTAATTTCCTTCTCACCATTACATTTTAGGATACCAAATCATTATAGTCATCCTCAATTTACAATGAGGAAGCCAGAAGGCAGACTTCCAAGAACTTAGTTGAAATTATAGAACTCCACTAAGCTTCCATAATCACACCTAACATGAAGACATATCTTATTTAGTTTTAAATATAGTCCTCATAAAATTGCCATAAAATGAAGTATCCATCAAAATCATAACAACCTTTATGTCACTTGTAATTCATAGCTTATCCCCTTTTATTTGTAAAAGTATTAATTATTTGTAACAGCTTCAAGATGTTATGTGTATAAAACAAATATTAAATTAATTAAGCAATATATTATGTGTCTTTTGGCTATAATTTTAGTACAGTGTTTTCTATTGTACTTTAAAAGCTTCCATAAGAAACATACCTATTAAAATATCTTTGATAGAACTTCATTTTTATGAGGATTGATACCTTTTAGTGCCTATAAATAATGTTTACATGGAATGTTTACAAGTTACCAAAAGCACTTACATAGGTTATTTTTATTTCTCAATATAAATTCTGTAAGAGTGATAGTATATTTATTTTAAAACAGGTAAATACTTACAGAAAGTAACTTTTTATAAAATCATACAGCTGTAAAACTTCAAGGCTCAGAACTCAAATACAAGTCTTCTAGGTCTTCAAAACACAGCAACAATGAAACACAGATTCTTTACTGCATTAATAAAAATATTTTCAATTCTCTAGGTCTTATAAAGCATACCAAAATAAATGTAAAGCAAATAAATTTGAGCTGAGGAACAAGTAATAAAAATTAGAATTTCATTCTGAACAGTTCGCCAATTAAAAAAAAGAGTCACATTAAAATATCAAGAAAAGAAGTGCTTTATGTTTTACTTAAGTAACATTATTGCTGTCATTATATCTCTTTAAAAATTTAATTCACACAACAGAAAGTTTAAAAGCCACTTTCTAGTATAGCTAGACTTATTTTCTTAAAACTTAACTAACTTGAGGGGGGTTCTTTTTAATAATTGACAGGAAGATAAACCTTACATCTACCCAGTTAGGAAAGTAAACTAGTTGTAACATGATAACACTTAAGTAATAGGGCCTGGGATTATTTAGAAATAGTGTGTCGAAATTTTCTGAACGTCTTAGGATATTTTTACTTTTCCATATTTAAAGAGAAGTTAATGAATATGATGTTTCATCTATACAGTTAATTTATTTGTTTTAAAAAATGCTTTAGTTCTATTTTTTGTTAAAATTAACCCATAAATGAAATAATGGATAGTGATGGATAAATTTCTAATTTATATTCATTGCAACAAACATACTGACACAAAGCCCAATTTCCTACTTACTTGAATGTTATCTTCTTATAATTAGAAGAAAAGTAAAACTTAATTTCATTATTGTTGCTCTCGTTGTTAATTACCAGATAGTTTTCTTTTATCTTTTATTATTCTACAATGTTGTTATGCAATAGTAATTGCATTCTTGATGTCTTGATGACATGACAATAATTGTGCCTGCTGAGTTAATGAACAAAAATCTAAAATATATAAATATTTTCTCATATAATTAACTAGCCTATAATTTCTAACTTTTAAAAACTAGTTTCCCAACCCTGATCAACATAGTGAGACTCCATCACTACAAAAAAAAAGAAAAAAAAAATTAGCCAGTCTTGGTGGATGGTGGCACATGACTGTAGTCCCAGCTACTTGGAAGGCTGAACTGGGAGGATCATTTGAGCCTATAATTTGAGGCTGCAGTGAATTATGGTTATGCCATTGCACTCCAGCCTGGGTCACAAAGTGAGACAGAAAACTAGTTTTCCTTTTATATGAAATAGGTCAGTAGTTTCTGCTTTTCCAAAATGAAGAACTATTATTAGTTTTGACCAGAAAATTAAGAAATAATATATTTGATTTTCTGCATTTTATTAAATGTATTTATTTTCGAATACAGTTTTAAACCAGATCAATGTTTGCTATACGGACGTGATATAAATTCAGTCAAAGTCAAATCTACTTAACATTTATTTAATTTGTGGGGCTTTATCATGGGTAAAAGTATAGTTTTAATGAAATTATATGTTCCCCTCCTCCATTACAACCTACAAAACAGGGATTTTCTACTTTTAAATTTTAACAGCTCTATGATAGCACTCATATTCTGAATTGATAAGTTCAAAGGCTAAACACCAAAACAGACAACAAACAAACAAAAAACAATAAAACTGTTGTTAAATAGTTTCTTTTCTAAATCAGTTTCTTTTAAAATGGAAAACATTGGAATAATGTTTTAGGCGTTTGAAATAACTGCACTAATAGAAATAAATCTATCATCATTTCAATGAAAAATCTATGAAAAAGTAACATATTTCTTAGTTGTCAGTAGGAGTTGATGCATTTATATCGGAGGGTAAATAAATGCAAAATATTCACACAAGAAACCTCAAAACTCAAAATATCTTAAAGAAAAACTCAGTTAACTACAACAAGAAATATAACTCTTGATTTCCAGATGCTTTCTTTTGGGTAAAGAAATATTTATCTGATATTGAAAAAGTATTGTCATAAACCTTGTAAAATATTTCTTCTTATTGAAAATCACATGAAATGTGTTACTTTTGTTTGAGCAGGTATTGTTTTGGGGTTATACATGCATAGTCAATGTTTCTTGCCTTAGAGTTTACAAAAATCAATTATAATCTATATTCTACAATTTCTATTTTCAGAGGAAAATTAATATATTCTTATCTAAGGATTATAGTTACGTATTTCTGATTTTCTTTTCTTAATTCACCAGAAACTTTGTTTACCAAATAGCCTCAATAATCTCCATGATCTGGGCATAGGCATCCAAAGTGCAAACTGACACTTCATTTGCAAGTCTGGATTAATTTAATAATGAATTTTTGGTTACTGTAAAATATATATTTGATTGGAATAAATGGAATTTTGTTTGAGTTAATCCACTTACATACCAGTGAAAATTTGTTGCTTCTTACAAAAAGAAAATGTTTATTCTTATCATTTAAATATTATTCTTGGACTTTTTATTTTATTTATCAAAACTTTTTATGTTACCTTATACATGTGAGAAATAATATTTGTATGTCAATTATTCTGTGTAACATCAAATGCTGCAGTGACTATAAACTTATGAATATTCAAATAATAAAATATTAAACAAGTAAAATGTCCACTAATTTCCTTTGCATACATTAATCTTCAAATATTCAAACTCAAATGGATTTAGTACCTTACAGCTAAATTATTAAGCAACACAGAATTAGTCAAATGTGTTTGTTCATGCTTTTGATTTAATCATAATAAATTTCTCTTAACAATTAACAGGATGGCTTGGAAGAGCAGAAGCAATCATATTTGACTCTCTTAATTATTTTTTTCTGATCCTACTAGTCATGTTTATTAATATAAATTTATATTCTGAGTCTCCTGCTGTTGAACTCCTTTCAAAAGTTAGCAGGTAAAATTTGCCAATGCATGAAAGCGCTGTAAAGTAACACATAATGCTCCTGAAATATTGTATTGCAGCCAAAAGAGAAAGAAGTCAGCATCCTGTATCACACCTGCGTCTGTGTTTACTAAAGCTAATGGAGGGTGAAATTTGTTTCTTTAGATAATTTTCAGTAAACTGATTACCCTCGTCAATTCTACCTTCATGATTCTAACTGACTTCCTGTTCTGTTCTCCTTTGTTCCATTTTTCAGTTCAGTGTCTCAGTCAAACAATATTCTCTATAAGAGGGAATCAGAAAATGAAATTGAAATTATGAGCAATTTAAAGTGATGCAAAGCTGCTGATTTTATCCATTCCTTAAATGGTTCAAAGATAAGTAAGCCATTCCTCATTTGAAAGTTGGAGTTGTTATTTAACATTTACTCCTGCAAATTTTATCTAGAGAAAATAAAATGACAATGAACCAAAACATCAACAAGTCACATTTTATTTATAAACTGCTTCTTGGGGAAAAACGAGGCATATTTGTATCAACTTCCCTGCAGTCATCCTTCTTACATAATATTTTATCATTACTAATTTAAATTGCAGCAGTATCTCTTACTGGAGTATTGACTTATAAACCTATTAATAGGAGACAGGAGGAGCCAGTAACAAATTGCAGCTGGTAACTGCTTCGAAACAGAAAGAAATGACTGAGCAGATACAAAGTATAAAGGGCTGAATAGAAAACTACTAGCAATTGATAACAATTAATAACATGTATAAATACAACTTTACTGCTTAATACTCTGGAGAATTTCTCAATTTCTTCAAACAATTAAAATATTTCTAAGGCTTTATTACATTTCACCTCATCAATACCACTTTTCATGACAAGGATCATCACATAGAAGTCCTTTTGGAATGTGTGTCAACAGAATGAGTAAGTGAGGAAGTAAATGAAAAGTGGAAAGAAAAAAAAAAGCTAACAATTTTTCAATGCCTACTAATTAAGGTGCCAGCCATTGTTATATATATATATATATATATATATATATATATATATATATATATATATATATATAAAACATATATGTTCTCATTTAATCATCATGAGAACCTATGCAGTTTATACCATTACTTTTCTCATGTTGAAGAAAATGTGGAACTGAGAGCTTAAGTAACTCCCTCAGGATCTCAGATGTGGTAAGTGGCAGAGCCAAAGTTCACACTCTTAGCAATTATTCAATGATGCACTATTACCAGTGAAGGACTGTGGAAATTCCACTTGCAATTGGAAAGCTGTCAATCTGTTCTCTATCTCTGATAGAATCTGAAAAGACATTTTATCAAAACATTTGAAAACTCTATTTCACATACTCACATGCATCTGAAAATGTAAGCTTTTGTTCTTCATATTATATTAGGATGTCATAATTTATAATTTCCTCTCATGTTTTAAAAATGGTGCTATCACATTACAGCTAGTAAGTGCTAGGAATATTCACCCTAAAAGGAGATTAATTATGTCGGTACTGATTGTAATAAGAAATAACATAATTGAGACCCTTTAATAACAGTTTCCTGCAGTAGGATTTCAAAACTCCTCCAATATATTAATACTGAAAACATTAAAATGTTGCTAGGTAGGTTTGTTTTTTCAAGATAAGAAATCCTTTCTGTCTCAAAAAAGCTGTAAAATAATATATATTGCATAAGTTTTATGTCACATTTTAAAATACAAACCACTAAATAATAAAAGTCACATTGCAAATAGTTTATTGTTATCCTAGACTTCATAAAAAGTACATTTCTGAGATGCAAAATGAGCATTCCATGAACTAAGAATGGATTTTCAGGCATGAAAAATTCATTTTTGCTTTAAGAATACTAAAGAATAAATGGCTTATGTGTTTTATTTACTCATGAATCTTTGGGATTGTGAATACACCAAGTTATTATATATACAGAAATATGAAGTTTAGATTGCTTTTCATCATCAGAACAGATGCCATTTGCAATTCATGAAATATGTTGTTCACAACAAATTATTTCCAACATCATCTGTCCTCTATGAACTCTATTAAAGTCCAAAGGCTTTGAAAATAAACTAGCTTAATAATAAGCATTTTGCAATAAACAAATTCATTCAGACATTTATTCAGTTATTTTGTTAATTTATCACTGTTAGTCTTCCCCTGCCCCCAAACACACACGAATATACACCAAGCTGTGATTCGTAATATTTGCTGATTTTCAAGGTGTAAATGATGTCGTCATGGCTGATCTCAAGCTATTAACATGACATCACTGAAAAGGGAGTTGTGAAGAGATACACAAAAAATCGGCTCTCTCAATTCCCTGTTTGTGCTGTCTCCAAGGTGGTTTAGGAAAAGGTGACATTTATGTTCTCACTGTGGGCCACTGTCTCAGGCTTTTTGGCTTGAGGGTGGGGCTTTGTCAGGGACTCGCCCTTTTCTGTTGAGAATTTCTCTGCCTCCTGTCCCTGTCAAAACTACTGCTTGTAATTTATGCTGAATAATAATCTTTACATTAGTCATGTTTATCTAATTGGAGATTAACTGCATCTAATTTTTTACACACACACGTTCTCTCTGCAGTCTACACTTCAAGACATGAATGCCTTCATATAATGTATTTTGCTTATTTATTTTCCAAATTAGAGAGTGCCTACACAGTTTAGGCATTTATAAAAAAAAAAGAAAAAGAAAAAGAAATGGCCATATACAGTTAGAATTGTATCATGAGACAAAAGTGAAATAATTATATTGTAATCCTATATATTGGAGTCAACTGAATTTTTATTCACTTCCTTATTTAGAGTTTCAAAATAATTTGGTTGTGAGGCTAGTCTAAATTTCAGGATAATAGATATTTATATTGATAATAGTGTGAACAGAAATCACAATTACATATCAGTGAGTGAACAGCATTAATAATCTGGGAGTGTAGGATGAAATTTCTACAAATCAAAAATCATTTTCTGTTATTATGTCTCTGAAAAGAATACTCTAAAAGACACATTTTAAATCCACACAGGATTCTTGTCTTGCTTCATTAACAAAATAACCTAAGCAATTGATGTTTCCCAAAAATATTTCAAGAGTAAAGATATAGGAATAATGTGAACTAACTTATGTTTAATTATAATTAAACTTAAAATAAATTCTATAAATAAATTCAATACATAAATTATAATTAATAAAAACTAAAAAATGCCAAGTGTTTCTGTTGTTATCTTTATTTGTTTTTCATTCACATGTAGTTTCTTTGCTGAGGAATAATAAGTAAGTTTTTACTGGGTGTCTGAGCATGCTCTCATAGTTGAAGGAGCACTGGTCACCCTGATCACCAGTAGTCAGCGTTATCGGTGCTCTGCATTACCACTAAGTTTAGAAAAGCCTTCATTAGGAGAATATTTCAAAAATTTCAGACTGCATTTTGTTAGTTTGCTTTTACTAAAGAAGAGAAGAACATTACTAAAGAAAAGAATGAGGGATGGAAAATATGTGGGGAGTGAGAAACAGGAAACTGCCAATACCCAGGTCAGGGAGGGCAGCAGTGATAGAAGTTATGAATATAATTTGAAAGCAGAGCCCTCAGGATTTACATATATTTTGGAATATGAGGAAATGGAGGATTTGTTTTGTCAATAATTTTTGGCCCGAGTATCTGTAGAAGTGATGGCACATGTTACTGAGATGGAGAGCAAATGGGCAGGTGTGTTTTGGTAGTAGGATCTTACCAGCTTAGGTTTCTTAGATAGGGATGGACTGAATAGAGATAATTTTCATGGCCTCTTCTTAGTTATGTAATACGACTAAAGTAGGTGTTCCGCAAATTCCTGGGCAAAGGTAATCAAGACAGTTTCTGGCCAGATATCAAAATAATGTAAATCACAGTGGCTTTATATACTATTCAAAACATGAGTACCCACAAAAATGCAATACACATATGTATATGAGAATTTATCCTTAGTTGTTTTTTATAGTATCAGTCAACCTTTTACTGGACCATCTGTGAGAAGTCTCCAGTCATTTATACTGAAGACTCGTGTAAAGAAATGGAAGATTTAGTCACCTTTGCTATGGCAGATTTAACTTATTTAAAGAGATAAATCATTATGCATGCCAATAATAAAAATAATTATTTATCTGCAATTGACCAAGTGTTATCTCTGATTCACTCTACCATCTTAGAATCCATAGATATTTGTACTGTTCTTAGAAAGGAAAAGACAACATGTTCTTAAACCATAGCTGCTCTGGTCACTGACACTGGATTTAAATCCAACATAATCTATGACAACTTTCCATAAGTAGTGGTGATACAGAATGCCAGTCAATCAGTGCTACTACTTGAAATCCACACTTCTTATAATCATATATGTGACCAACAATGTGCTTGTTCAGATAGACAGTATCCTACAATGCAGAGCTTCTCTCTTTGACAATTAATAAACTTACGTCTTGTTTCTGATATTGGATAGTAACCTCTTCGTTCCATATTTGGAGCATCCATCTTAATTGTTTTGAAGACTATTACTTGGAAGCATTACATGGGAATTTTGGACATCCAAGCATGATAGTTCATCACTTTGGCCCAAATTTAGTTGTTCTCACTGCCAGGTAAATTGATTTCAATAGCGATCTCGTGCTGAATTATTTCGTTGAGCTGCCTTATTGATTTTGTTGTTGTTGTTGTTGTTAAGGGTTTTAAACATATAGTTCTTGGCCTTGAGAAAAGGCAAAAAAATGTAGTAAATTAACTAAACATACTATTTCAGGAGTCTTTTCATTAAGTTTGTGGGGAAAAGACTAGTTAATAGGAGACGTTAAAAAACAGAATCCAAAAATGTTTCAATGTTCAGAGGTAGACCCAACATCCAAAGTAAAAGTAACATTGTTCTCTTTTTTGTAAATGAGATGCTATCTGAAAAGGAGACTTGGTGAGAATATTGAACTAGAATGGCTAATTGCCAAGTGAGAAGGTCTACATCAAGTGGCAAAACATTTACAATGAGTGCTAGAAGATAAAAAAAAAGTATGAAAACCAGAAAAAAACATAAGACCCTTTAGATAAAATTACCCTTTCCTGAAAGAAAAACAAGACTGATTTGTTTACTATTTTTAAAGAATTGTAAGCCTCTCAATCTGGATGCCTACAAAGATTACAAATAGAAAATTCACTGAAAACTTAAATGTTCTCTACATTGATTAAGAAACTGAAGGACAAATGTAAAAAATATCATGGAATGACATCACTCTGTGAGAAAATGCGATCTTTAACAATTTTCTCTCTCTACATTGTCAGAGAAAATTGTCCACAAATATAAATGCACAAAATACAGTTTTCTTCCTTTCTTTTTTTTTTTTTTTTCTTGAGACTGAGTCTCACTCTGTCGCCCAGGCTGGAGTGCTTCTCCTGCCTCAGCCTCCAGTTTAGCTGGTATTACAGGTGTGCACCACCACACCTGGCTAATTTTTGTATTTTTAGTAGAGACATGGTTTCATCATGTTTGTCAGGCTGATCTCAAACTCCTAACCTCATGATCCGCCCACCTCGGCCTCCCAAAGTGCTGGGATTACAGGCAGAAACCAACGCGCCCAGACACAGCTTTCTTATTGACAAAGGTGCAGTCATAGCTGAACAATACTGCATCATTATCAGATCACAAGTACTAAAACTACTTGTGAAGTACTAATGTTTGTCAATTCTAAGTTATTTCATAAACTGTAGTCAATCGGGATGATTATTAGAAAAATAATCCTTTATTCTCTGTGACACAACCCCTGTAAGTTTAATGGTGATTTAATTTACAAACGGAACTGCCAGTTAAACTGTCTTTCAGATGTGCTATTAAGAGAAGTTTAGATTTTTTCTGTCTCCACAATCAAATTAGAATTGATCTTGACAATAATATACATACACAGTGAATGTCTCAAGAAATAATCCAATAATTAAATATGATTTCAGAATAGATATTAGCAAGGACTCCATGATTATAGACACATTTGGAGCTATAATATTTTAGAATAGGTCTTCTTTGGTTATCATAAACTTCTATTTTATGTAGATGAACATTCAGGTTATGCTTTATGAACATTAACTCAACACAGCACATGTCAAAGATGCGTTGCTTATCATAGCCTATCTCTTTATCCAAGAGCCAAAGTATATTCTCCTGTCCTCAGCAAATATGCTTCGTATGATAAATTAAACAAAGCACCTTCAGCTCTTGTAGAATCACCTGCATATATAATGATATCACATCAATTTTTATTAAATAAAAACACTTTTTTACCTTGAGCAAATCATCATGCTAAAGAGGCTAATTGGACCTAAGCCCTTATCAAAGTGCATTATAAGACAGCAAAACAAATCCATAGAGAAGTTCAAAGTTCTCAACAAAGATAAATGGAATCTGTTGCCAATTCTAAAAGAAAACATTAGGAATGGTCATTTTGTAAAAATCCATGAGGGATATACCTGGGAATGCCTGGTAGCATCAGATAGTATTATGGATATTTTCTAAAATTCTCATAAGACAACTTTTAACAATAGGAATTCATTTGAAGTGATATTAAGTATCACTAGAGAAAATTTTTCTGGGTTAACAGATGATGTGGCCAGTTCATGCACTAATTGTCCAATGTAATTCTAAAAATTATTATATAAAGGTGGAACATGGTAATATGTCCAGAAGGACACATACAACCATTTCCTCTTTGTGTTATGAATATAAATATGTAAAATTGATAATTTTTTCTTATTTTGTGGATGTATTGAAGCAACCTCACTCATATAAATCTAAATATAGTTCACATATTTATTTTTATTTATCTAAAAAGTGTCTAAGAGTTGGTCATCACTAACAGTTTGGGATGGACTTCTGCTGGATATTTTTCTCCGTCAATATTCACAAACATGAATGTATAAAAAGAATTACATGCAAGGATTAGCAATGTCTGCTTTTTATATTAATAAACAAATTAACAAATAACCAGTGTAGACAAACTTGGTAAAAGATAAGTTGAAGATCATGGTTTAGGCCAGGAAGAATCCTAACTTCCTGTTCTGTGTCCGCCTGTTTAAATCTGAATTTTCCAGCTGCAAAGAGCAGTTCTAACCTGAATTATCCACCCGTATATAGAAATAGAAAATACAACAGATTGAAAGGATGATAGGCTTTAATTAATTTAGAAAATATAGTCCTAAGCATATTTTGGTGTTTAATTTATAAGATAAATTTTTGTCTAGAGAAGCTAAAATGAGGATAAGATCCTCCCTGTGATTTCCTCCCTATAATCCTTAAGCGCTCCTCCTTACCACACATCCTCAAGCTATTTGTTCTATCTTAGTATTTGGACTTAAGAGCCACGCCTGTATTCTGCATTCTAGCATATCACAGTGTTAATCCTGAAACTAAACTTAATCCATTAAAAATCAGCTCTTCGGTGGACAGTAAAAAGATGTGCATTTTCAGTGTCACTCAAAGACCTTTGAAATGACCAAAAAAGAAAAAAGGATATAGAATCAGTATTTTATAAAAATATCCAAAGACCTGAGGAAATGCTCACCGTACATATTTTGTGATACATGATACTATATACAACGTGTGTATAGTAAATATTCAATGTTTAAAGTGTGTGTGCATGTGTGTATGTGTATGGAGGAAGGAAAATAATCACAAACATCAACATTATGATAATCAATATCCCTAGAATATGGTAATATGACTTTTATTGTATTTATATTACACATTTTTTAGCTTACAGTTCCTCCATACTAAACATATATTATTTTTATAAGAAGAAAATGTAAACAAATTTTATTTACATTTAAGGATAAAATTTGTCATGATTATTCTGAGGTATTTCAGTTTTATAAATGAATACATTTATTGTTTTAAACATTAATGAGCTTGTAAAATATTTCATAATTTACTGTATTCTACCGCAGAAGAAACTCTCAGTTATATAAAATGCTTGTTTATGGTAGAAAATAAAACAGAGAAAGATTTATACAGTTTCGCACCCATTTAATACTAGCAGAGTAAAATGGAGTGCGTTATCAGTTCTTAGCCAAAATTTACTATTCAAAAGTTACATTTTACTTATTGCTGTTGTTGATCAAGAATGCTTTATTTGGGGGGAGAGAGTAATGGACAAATGTTTAATCTTCATAAATCATAAATTGAAGAAATCAGATGAGAATAAAAATTCTGTTGTGGGGAAACATTAAGGTTAAAGTCCAATTAATATTCTCTAACGAAAATGATTGTTACCTTTGAACTGAAATCAATTATTTGTGAACATTATGGCAGTATTTCAGACAAAAAACAAATATGAAAATAAAACTTTAAAAATTGATATGTGTGTCTTAATGACATGGTATGAAATTTACTAAATTCAAATGTCATCAAATTAGTGTAAATTCATAGAATATATTCCACTTTTTAAAAAGCTTACTTCAGATATTAAATACATATTATTTGTCATATATGTGGGTAGGAGGAGTTTAAAAGTAACATGACGTTGAGGTGTTTATGTGAGTTTAGCTTATGTGAGAGAGAGAGGGAATGGAGAATCTGTGTGTGGGAAGGAGGGAGGTAGCTCTGTTATGTCCAATGAGTGTGAATATGGGTGTGAATGAGCATGAGGGTAAAAAGGTGCCAGTATAAGAAGGTGGCAGTAGTTGTTCATGTGTTACTGACCCCACTGTTCTGTAAAATTAAAGCTGGGATTAAGTATGCTAATGTATCTTATCACTAAACACTTCTGACTAGTGATCTACAAGGTATGTTATTTAAAAAGGATTTTATTAAATGAATTTCTTTAACGGTTCAATCCAAACTTTTGCAAAGGATATCTGTATTCATATAATACCTATTGCCATCCTAACGAACTGAGGAGGCACACGCTGTTGTAAACATGTGTATGTGGATAGGATATTGTATCCACCAGCTGCAAAATATTATCTTCAAACAATGTGTTTTGAGAAATGTTGGTGAATAAAGATGAAGTATGTGTAATTTTCAGAATATATAGTGTCCTTCCATAGTGTATCATGTATATGGTAGTAGTATCAACTGAAATTCCTGCACTTCTTTTCCTTAAAAGGCACATTTATATTTTCCTGCTGATCTCACTTCAATTTCATAGAACCTTCTCTGACATTTGTAGGCACCCTTGCATACTAACGCTTATGATCCCATCATCCCCTATTTTTTACCATCACCATGCCATGTTTATTGGCATTGTTTAGTAACCAATTACATACATATTTATGTAGACCCTAGAAATTACTTTCCTTGATGCAGGGACTCTCTCTTATCTTTATATTCCCAGCCATTGAGCATACTACTTGGTGATTACAAGGAACTCAAAAATGTTTGCTGAGGGAATGACGAGTGACTGAACATTCTTCCACAAAACTGCTTCCATGGACAGAAAGATTGGTAGACATTTCATTTTTCACTAAAAGTTCAAAAAATGAAACTCTGAATGTTAGCAATTTCAAAACCAACAAGTCACTAATAATCACAATCTGTGTGCCATATCATAAATCAGAAGAGCCAACATCCAATCATGAACTCTGGGATAGTAGATATAATCTTGAATTAACTTGAACATATAAGATGAATAATGTGTCTGGTTGCATTGCATTCATTGTAAGCAGAAGCTAGGCAGTCATAGAAAGGAAAGTTAATTGAATTTTTCAGAAGATTTGATTTGTATAAATGACTTCGTAAATTATTTGCTCTCAATGTTGTACACTTTTTTATCTTTCACAGCTTCATTTTTCTCATATATTAAAAAGTGAAATATTAATATCTACTTCCTAAATTCAATCTGTGTGATGTAAAGAAATGTATGTGTATACATCAGGGACTTTTAGTAGTCATGTTGCATATAAACCTCAATTCTTGTATTATGCTTTCTTTTTTTTATTTTATATATATTACATATACCAAATTATATGGGTTAATCTGGAATTATGAAAATTTCTAGCATATATTCTGGATTCTCAAAGTATTTAAAATCTAGGATGAATAAAAGGGATAAAGAACATTCAGAAATGATCAGAAAATCTGAATTTTTTAAATAAATGCAAAACAATGTCAATGATATATCTTCTGTAAAGGATATTATGTTTATAAAAGTACATTTCAGTATGTTCTAAGTTTACTGGCAGAAAGTTTAAAGAAAACATGTCGCATGGCTCTAATTATTAGAAACGACAGACCATACTAATGACTGTATTCATCATTTTTAAAAACCAAATTTTATGAAAACCAAAGCAATTGTTCAGGTATTTATGTAAAGAACTAAAAAATAGTTGAGAAATATCAATGCAAAGGCATAAGAATGACACAGTGGACTCTGGGGATTCGGGGGAAAGGGTGAGAAAGGGGTGAGGGATAAAAGACTACAAATAGGGTGCAATGTATACTGCTCGGATAATGGGTGCACCAAAATCTCACAAATCATAATTGAAGAACTTATTTTTGTAACCAAACACTACCTGTTCCCCAATAACCTATGGAAATCTAAAAAATAATAATAAAAAATAGAAATAAAAAGAGCAGGAGAAAGGAAGATGGAGGAAACCCTTATCCTCATTTGCAAAAACGTTGTTCACATCACTTCCAATCACATCTCAGTGCAGGAACTCAATCACAGAGCCAGAGTGCACTGCAGGCAAGTCTTAGGCTGCATGGCCATGGTCCTGCTACAATTCGTGCCCCTAGTCCTGACCGTTCCTTGCCCTCCCCTTCACACTAAGACAACCCTGTTCCCAGTATAACACATAATGTAGTACAGACATCCCTGGCATTCGACTTAAGATTTTCGACTTTGCAGTGGCGTGAAAGCAATACTCATTCAGTAGAGAATGTACTTGTGGTACTCATGGAACCCATCTGTGTTAACTTTCAGCACAGAATTCAATAAATTGCATGAGATATTCAACACTTCATTACAAAAAATATAGCTGAGAAATATTGAGATATTTATTTAAAGGACCAAACAGATATCTATGTAAAGGATTGAACAATTATTTGAGCAATGTTCTCCCAATAAAAGGTAGATATAACCTCATATTAACTTATTTGGGATAATATAGTATTTCAGAATATCTGTGGACAGAATATTGAAATTCATCCCAATGAAGACTGGTGCTACACATGGCTAAAGAAATGTCGTATAATCATATAGTTTTATAGTGAAACTAACTGATCCCAAGAATAAAAGTGGAGTGCCATTTGTCAGAGGCCGACTTGCTTACGTATTGTGTTTGATATTTCTTAAGGTAATAACTGGGTAAGGAAGTGCTTAATAATAGAAGAGAGGCTGTGAAGCCATAAGCAGACTGGATGATGTAAAGTTATATAAAATTATATTATTTGTGAGTGCCTAAAATGATAATACTTCGTAATGGGAAAGTGTCAAAAGGGTATGTGTATATCTTGGTAAAAATCTGAGCATGTGGTAAACTTAGCATATGCTAACAAAAGTTAAAAAGTCATTAAAACATTAAACATTAAAACATTAAAACATTGATTGATTAAAACATTGATTAAAACATTAAAATATTGAGCCTAGGTAATATTAAAATCTTAGTCAACTAACAGGAGAACACAAATGATTTTTTGCACTAGAATCCAAGAAGAAATTTTAAATTACTAGGCAAAATATGAGAGAAAACCAAAGACATATGCTCCAAGTAAAACCGGTTAACTTGACTTAACACTAGGCTCTTGAACAATAAATCCTCACCATACTGAATGGCTAATTATAGAAAATGAGCTTCTTGTATGTAGTATAGGGAGGAAACCAGTTTTCCACTTAACCAGCAAATAGACTGCCGTATTAAGACCCAAACATGAGAACTGCAAAAGTCAGAGGCCAAGTTCTCAGATACATTAGTATACATTTTAGTTCTAATCTATGAACTCTGAATCAGATGGTGGATTGAATAAAGCTATTCTTTGGGAAGTATTGAATCTATTAAGAGAAGAAAAAAACAATAAATTCTCTCATTCCCAATAAGCACTCAAACAAGCTACCAAAAATTTGTGACGCATATATGAAAGCAAGAAAACCTAATAAAAAATGGATTATTCAAACTAATAGACCTATAATAATTGCCACTGTATGAGTAGTTTTCTAATAAAGTTTCATAATCAGAAACAAGAAATGAATAAGGCACCTAGAATTAATTATGAAACTAAAAATAATAGATATAAAATATACAAAGCAGAAATCTTAAAAAATGTGTATGTACTGACAAAAACCTCATAAGAAGTTATAGAAGGTAGATTAGATACATTCAATGAGAGAATTACAGAATACAACTACTGATGGAAGAAACTAATCATAATAAGACAGAGAGAGAAAAGGAAATTGAAAATATAAGAGACAAGGTAAGAGATGTGGAGGGTAGAATCAAAAGTGTAAATATGCATCTGAAAAACAGCAACAGACAATAATGAAAGCATGAGAAAAAGACGCTATTCAAGAGCTAATGGCTGGGAAGTATTCAGTATTGAGTAGAGACAAGAGTCATCAAAGTTTGTAATGTAGAAATTAATGATTGCTGGCCCACCTATAATCCCACACTGGGAGGCCGAAGCAGCAGGATCCCTGAGGCCAGTATTTCAGTGCCAGCCTAGGCAACAAAGCAAGAACCCACTGCTACAGAAAATTTAAAAAGTAGTTGGGCATGGTAGCACATTCCTGTAGTTGCAGCTACATGGGAGACTAAGGTGGGAGGACTGCTTGAGTTCAGGGAGGTAGAGGCTGCACTGAGCCATGATCATGCCACTGCACTCCAGCCTGGGTGACAGAGCAAGACTCTGAAATTAATAACTGAGATTAAACTTAATTTAGTAAATTAGGCCATAGATTTTAATGCAAAGATCCAAGATAAATTAAATCTTCAATTGTAAATGTCTCTTAAGAGTTTTTCAATGTGAAAGTAAATGTAATGGTAATAGTGCAAATAATTATATTGTCAAACCCTCCTAAGATTTTATAAAATGTTAGAAAAACTCAGACTTGAAGTCACTAACAAACAGTATGATTACTGAGAAGAGTAAGCTATTCATAGAAGTTCAATAGGCTCCACGATAAAAACTAACAATTGAGAAGACCCTCAGTATAAAATTTCAACTTAAAAATCATCTTACGGTTTGTGTGGAAATAAAAGAATGCACAAGAAAAATAATATACTGACTGGGAGATATATTCTTTTTAAAATCAGTTATTGTTTTCTTCTCTTACTTAACTAAAAGTATCCTTTACAAATGCATACTTTTCTAATGAGGGGGACTAAAAGATCTATAATCACATCACCATAATTATTGAGGTAAAAAATAAGCTGCAGCTCTAATAATGCAAATTCAAAAGCAATTTATACATAATTAAAATACAACAGCCAGACATGGTGTCTCATACCTGTAATCCTAGCACTTTAGGAGGCTGAGGTGGACAGATCACCTGAGATAAGGAGTTCGAGACCAGCCTGGCCAACATGGAGAAACCTCGTCTCTACTAAAAATACAAAAATTAGGTGGGATTGGTGGCAGATGCCTGTTATCCCTGCTATTCAGGAGGATAAGGCAGGAGAGTCATTTGAACCATGGAGGTGGAGTTTGCAGTGAGCCGAGATCGTGCCATTGCAGTCCACCTGGATGACAGAGCAAGACTCTGTCTCAGGAAAAAACAATAATAACAATAAATAAAACATATCAGAATATGAACTTGACTGTAAATGGTATGGTTATAAAAGAACTTTTGTTCTATATTTTGACGAATTTTATTTCTATAATTTTAAATTTTTATCAATAAAAATAATACCACATATTTGTATTAGAAGGTATTGTCCAACTGCTAGATGTGATTTACAGGCTCAATGATACGTAACTCAACATACTGCTGACCAATTTGTTTTCACAGGCTGCAAACACTAATTAAGACATAGCATTATTAAGAAGTATAAGTGAAGGAGAAAAACAAAGCTATTTCCTTTACCACAATGTGTTAATTTAGTATTTGAGTATGAACAAGTTTATGAAAGCAAATTAATGAAACTACTGAAGTTTGGAAACATGTTTTCTAGGAGGTTTATTTGACTCTAATTCTAGTTTTGATATTTATTACAGTATAATCTTAATAATTGCTGAGTAGTAAAATGGAGTTACTAATGTTTACCTCTCAGGAATAATTTAGGGTCAATGTTATAGAATAATAATGCACATTTTTAAAAATGGTGCATGATAGTCATATGAGGGCTGACTACCAATTAGGCATTTTCTATGTGAGAGGGATAAAGAATATATTTAGACTGTGTACAAAATGAAAAATGTATTACATATTTTTAGGAGATTAGCTGCAACAGTAATCAATATCATGTGTTAAGATAATGAATTATGTTTGTCTCAAAGCACCTCTGTACCTGGGTAATAAAATTTGACCCAAAGTGGCCTCCTAATACAGCTTGATGGGTCAGCAAGTCATAACCTAACCTGAGTGTACCCTTGTAATCAAGAAACTGAGTCTCATCCAATCACAGTAGCTGATATATCAGCCAATCCCAGGCTGAAAGCTGCCAGATTATGCCCAAATAAGGCAAAGGCTGAATTGCACCTATTAGGTCATCTTTTTATGTCATTTTCTGTTTTTCTTGTTTTAAATACAGCTCACCATGTTGTCAGCGGGGGCATTCTAACCCATCTTTGGTCTGAAATGCTGCCCAGTTCTGGAACCATTTTATTGCTCAAATGAACTTTGTAAAATTTAGTTGGTCTTGGATTTGAACTTTTTTTTTGTTTTTTTCTAAAACAGATTGAGGTGGAGAACTGCATCCACAGTAGAACTTCCAGCAACTCTCAGGAGAACTAGCAACCACTTTAGGTACCTGCCAGTGCCCACTGAGCCCCATGATCTCTCCAGGTGTGGCTAAGGTCTCTCTCTCTGATCCTGAGCCCCACTAATTTTGTGTTTTGAGGTCTCTGAGGTTATTTGAGAAATCCTTGTATCCTTTTTTTCTCATTGTCTTTTTTTATTTTCTTTTTCATACTTTACTGAATTAGATTCAGTTAAGAGGCATTGGATGTCTTAGTGGGTTTGACCAAAGCTCAACTGTGTTTAAAATCAAGTTGGATACAACAGTTAACTGGATTTGATCCAGATAAGGGCCTTGATTCATTATTTTTTATGTTTTCGGCTTTTCAACCTAGGATTTTGAGCTGTGAAGGAGTATTTAGCCTTTAAAGTCATGGCAGAAAGAGTACTGGATCCTTTAGGGGGAGGCCTCCGTCTGATTGGACCAGAAAGAAGTGAAGTGGGCTCAGTAGTTATAAGAACACAGGGAATCATGGCTTTATCAGGCTCCAGGGAGTCTAGAACTCCTCCACCTGGAACTCCAGGCAATTTTATGTGTAAGATCGATAAGCCCAGGACCTGTGCCTTTTTAGAAATGAATGAAACTTACCAAAATTAATATAAAATTTCAATAGCCACAGTGGGTAAGTTTTAATTCGTATAAAATTGCTTATTTAAGAAGTATATTAGAAAGGGATGGATTAAGAAAATCACAAGAACAATGGGATTCAATTTTTAATTGACAGGCAGAGACATCTAAGAGATGAAATGAATCAAGAATTACCTCCATTTGTTTGTGTCATCTCTAATTTCTTTGAGCAGAATTTTGTAATTCTGGCTATAGAGATCTTTCACCTCCCTGGTTAGCTGCATTCCTGGGTATTTTTTTTGTGTGTGTGGCTATTGTAAAAAGATTTCATTCCTGAGTTGTCTCTTGCCTTGACTGTTTTTGATATAGGAATGCTAGTGATTTTTGTACACTGATTGTGTGTCCCAAGAGTTTGCTGAAGTTGTTTATAAGCTTAAAGAGCTTTGGGGCCAAGACTATGGGGTTTTCTATATATAAGATTATGTCATCTCCCGATAGGGATAGTTTGACTTCCTCTCTTCCTATTTGGATGCCCTGTATTTCTTTATCTTGCCTGATTGTGCTGGCCCGGACTTCCAATACTATGTTGAATAGGAGTGGTAAGAGAGAGTATACTTGCCTTGTGCTGGTTTTCAAGGAAAATGCTTCCAGCTTTTGCCCATTCAGTATGATGTTGGCCATGGGTTTTTCACAGATGGTTCTTATTCTGAGGTATGTTCCTTCAACATCTAGTTTATTGAGAGTTTTTAAGGTGAAGGGGTGCTGAACTCATTGAAAACCTTTTCTGCATCTATTGAGATGATCATGTGGTTGTCTTTAGTGCTGTTTATGTGATGAATCACATTTATTGATTTATGTTAAACCAACCTGATATTCCAGAAATAAAGCCTACTTGATCATGGTGAATAAGATTTTTTTGATGTGCTGCTGGATTCATTTTGCCAATATTTTGTTGAGGATTTTTGCATCGATGTTCATCAAGGATATTGACCTGAATTTTTCGTTATATCTCTACCAAGTTTTGGTATCAGGATGATACTGGCCTCATAGAATGAGTTAAGGAGGAGTCGAGTCCATCCTTCTCAATTTTTGGAATAGTTTTAGTAGGAATAGTACCAGATGGACAGGATCTCGGCTCACTGCAAACTCCACCTCCAAGATTCAAGCAGCTCTCCTGCCTCAGCCTCTAGAATAGCTGGGATTACAGGTTCCCGATACCATGCCCAGCTAATTTTTGTATTTTTAGTAGGGAAGGAGTTTCACCATGTTGGCCAGGCTGGTCTCAAACTCCTGACCTCAAGCGATCCTCCCACCTCAGCCTCTCGAAGTCCTAGGATTACAGGTGTGAGCCACTGCACCCGGCCAGTACCAGATCTTCTCTGTATATTTGATAGAATTTGGCCTTGAAGCCAAAATCTGGCCAAGGCCTTTTGTTTGTTTGTTTGTTTGTATGCTATTTATTACTCATTAAATTTTGAAGCTTATTATTGGTCTGTTCAGGGTTTCAATTTCTTCTTGGTTCAGTCTTGGGAGAGTGTATGTGTCTAGGAGTTTGTCTGTGTCTTCTAGGTTTTCTAGTTTGCACATATAGAAGTGATAGAAGTGTTCTCAGTAGTCTCTGATGGTTATTTATATTTCTCTGGGATTAGTGGTAATATCTTCTGTCATTTCTGATTGTGTTTATTTGGATTTTCTCTCTTTTCTTCTTTGTTAGTCTAGCTAGTGGCCCATCTGTCATATTATTTTTTCAAAAACTATCTCCTTGATTTGCTGGGTTTTTTAATGGGTTTGCATGTCTTGATCTCCTTCAGTTCAGCTCTGATTTTGGTTATTTCTTGTCTTCTGTTAGCTTTGGGGTTTATTTGTTCTTGCTTCTCTAGTTCTTTTAATTATGATGTTAGGTTGTTATTTGAGATTTTGCTAACTTTTTGATATGAGCTTTTAGTGCTATAAATTTCCCTCTTAATATTGCCTTAGCTGTATCCCAGGGATCCTGATATGTTGTATATTTGTTCTCATTAGTTTCAAAGAACTTCTAGATTTTTGCATTAATTTTATTATTTACCCAAAAGTCATTAAGGAGCAGGTTGTTTAATCTCCATGTAGTTGCCTGGTTTTGCATGACTTTTTTCTTAGTCTTTATTTCTATTTTTATTGTGCTGTGGTCCATGAGTATGTTTGGTAGGATTTCAGTTCTTTTGTATTTGCTCAATTTGTATTTACGTCTAATTGTATGGTCAGCTTTAGAGTATGTGCCATATGATGATGAGGAGAATCTATATCTGCTGATTTGAGGCCAGTGTTCTGTAGAAGTCCATCAGTTCAATTTGATCTAATGTTGAGTTCAGATCCTAAACATATTTGTTAATGTTCTGCCTTGATGATCTGTCTAATGCTGTCAGTGGAGTGTTGACATCTCCCATTATTATTTTGTGGGAGTCTAAGTCTCTTTGAAAGTCTCTAAAAACTCGCTTTATGAATCTGTGTGCTAATAGATAGGAAGTATCAATAACATAAAAATGGCCTTACTGCCTAAAGCAATTTACAGATTCAATGCTATTCCTATCAAACTACCAATGACATACTTCACGACCTAAAGAAAAAATATGTGCTAAAATTCATATAGAACCAAAAAAATGTGACTGAATAGCCAAGGCAATCCTAAGGAAAAAGAACAAAACTGGAGGCATCATGTTACCTGACTTCCAACTATACTATGGGGCTACAGAAACCAAAATAGCATGGTACTGGTACAAAACCAGATACATAGACCAATGAAATAGAATTGAAAGCCCAGTGATAAGGCCACACACCTGCAACCATCTGATCTTTGACAAAGCTGACAAATACAAGCAATGGAGAAAGGACTCCCTATTCAATAAATGGTACTGTGATAACTTTCTAGCCATATGCAGAAGATTGAAACTGAATTCCTTCCTTGTACCATACACTAAATCAACTCAAGATGGATTAAAGACTTGAATGCAAAGCCCAAAATTATAAAAACTCTGGAGGTCAAACTAAGCAGTACCATTCTGGACATAGTAGTGGGCCAAAATTTCATGATGAAGATGCCAAAAGCAATTGCAACAAAAGCAAAAATTGACAAAGGAGATCTAAGTAAGATATGCTGCACAACAAAAGAAACAGAGTAAACAGACAACCAACAGAATGGGAGAAAATATTTACAAACTATGCATCTCACAAAGATCTAATATAAACAATTTTACAAGAAGATAGACAAATTTACAAGAAGAAAACAAGTTTACAAGAAGAAAACAAACAACTGTATTAAAAAGCGGGCAAAGGGCATGACAGAAACTTTTCAAAAGGAGACATGCAATCGGCTCAAATAGCAGAGCTTGCTTGGAAATATTATGAAAAGAAGCTCAATATCACTGATTATTAGAGAAACACAAATCAAAACAACAATGACCTACCATCTCGCACCAGTAAGAATGGTTTTTATTAAAACGTCAAAAAATAACATATGCTGGTGAGGTTGCAGAGAAAAGGAAACATTTATACACAGTAGGAGTGTAAATTAGTTCAACCATTGTGGAAAGCTGTGTGGCAATTCCTCAAAGAGAGAAATACAGAACTACTATTTGACCCAGCAACCCCCATTACTGGGTATATACCCAAAGGATTATAAGTCGTTCATGCACACGTTATGTTCATTGCAGAACTATTGACATAGCAAAGACATGAAATCAACCTAAATGCTCATCAATGTTAGACTGAATAAAGAAAATTGTTACATATACACTATGGAATACCGTGCAGCCATAACAAAGGATGAGATTATGTCCTTTGCAGGAACATGGATTAAGCTGGAGGCCATTATCCTTGGCAAATGAATGCAAGAACAGAAAACTAAATATCTCATGTTCTCTCTTATAAGTGGGAATTAAATGATGAGAACATATGGACACAAAGAGGGGAACAACAGACACTGGGACCTACTTGAGGGTGGATGGTGGGATGGAGAGGAACAGAAAAAATGACTAGTGGGTGCTAGACTTACTACCTAGGTGACGAAATAATCAGTATAACAAACCCCTGTGACATGAGTTTACATATATAACAAACGTGCACATGTACCACTTAACCTAAAATAAAAGTTAAAAAAAAATTAATTTCCTCGATACAGAAAGCAAACAAGCATTTTATAGCTACAATAACTAAAAGATCAAAGAGGACCTCCTTGTATAGATTTTAAACCAAAAGCAAAAGCTCCTAAAGAAATCTCTTCCTGTTCCCAAAGATGTCTTCCTGTACTGCAAACAGCCAGGCCATTGGAAAATAAATTATCCCTCTTTTTTGTTGTTGTTTTCTTCTTTTTTTTTTTGACACAGGGTCTCTCTCTGTCACAGAGGGTGGAGTGCAGTGACACCATCATGGTGAGGTCTGCAACCTCAGCATCCTGGATCCTCCTGCCTTAGCCTAGTTGAGTAGCTGGGACCGCAGACCCATACCACTACACCAACTAATTTTTTTGTTTTTATTTTTTATAGAGACGAGGTCTCTGTGTTGCCCAGGCTGGTCTTGAACTCATGGACTCAACTGAACCTCATGCTCTGGACTCCCAAAGTGCTGGCATAATAGGTCTGAGGCACTGGGCCTGGCCAACTGTCCACTTTTATACCAGCATTGTTTTCCCATGAAAAGAAGTCCCCAAAGGCCCTTCCTGATGTTTTTCCCCTTTATCTTTCATTTGATTCTGCTTCTCCCATGGGAATCCTTCAGTCACCGAAACCTCTTTTTCAAACCCTTGCGGCCACCTCTCTTGTCATAATCTTTGCTATGCCCCAAAATTCTTTATTGGTAAGAACTGCTGAAAACCTTTTATATTCAATTTCCAATTCCTTAAGTTATTCTGCAGAAAATTGATTGGTCCATATATGGTTTTGTAGACAAAGGAATGATGAGCAAGTTTCACATAGCAGAGCTTGTTTAGAAATATTGTGAAACATTCTGAGCGCAAAATACAACAAGAATATTTCCTACCTGTACTGAAACGATATTAACTTATAACCTGCAATTAGACCCAGTAGTGAAGGCATAACCTAATTGTTTTACAGCAGTAGAAGCAACAATCAAATTAGTAGAGTTCTCGTCTGAGCTAGTTTTAGAGAATGAACTTTTCTCGTATGATCCACGTGTTGTGGAAAAGTCTGATTGAACTAGTTAAACTCAGTATCTTTTGGCAAGTAGACTAACATCTTATGAAAACTTTATTTTGTCTTCTAATATCTATCTAAAACATTGCAACTTACTTACCCCTGCTACTCAGCTTCCTCTGCAGGATTCAGGTGAAGACTGCATTGTGGTGTGTGAATGTGTAATAGTATCAAAATTAGTGACCCCCTGTCTTGATTTACAAGATACTGCATTGAAGAATTGTTAGTTAATACCTTCTGTTGATGGGTTTTATGCCAAAAACTCAGAAAAAAGAATTAAGTAAGGTATGCTGTTAATATCCAAACCACATAACAAACGTGACCTTTAAGGTATTTTTCCTTGTCGTCCTGTCTTAACTGGGCCTTTACATACAGTCTCGTTTTTTGGCTTAGGCTAGCGATGGAATTTGAACCTGATAACTCAGATCTGTGTCTTTTAGATGTTAATTTTCTACCTTGCCTTCTTTAGGACCTGAAAACTCTCCTTTTAAAATCAGAATTAGAGAGATAACTTTAGAAAAAGAAGAAGAAAAAAAGATATTTTAAAATTAAGGCAATAACAAATCTAAAAGTCTTTTCCACAAATATTAGTAAAAAGCTTTAGCCATTTGGGAAGGAACTATTATTCAATTGACCAGAAAAACAATGTTGATCCAGATTTTGTTTTTAAAGATTAGTGAGCTTGTATTATTGTACCTGGCATGCAGCTAAAGTTGTACAAAAAAAGCTATAAGATCTGTTTGTCTATATATTTGTCTGTCTTCATTTATAATATATATGTTTGATTACTTTTCTGTCTTTTAATGGTATTGGCAAACTAAATTTTAGGTGAATTTAATTGGTTTATAAAAATAAACTACTATCTCAACAAAATTAAGCACTGACCTAAATATTTTTTCCACTTCACATGACTTGAGTAATCTTTGTTAAATAAGAATATTGTTGCTTTGATTAAGATAAACATGCCTTTAGAGTTTTTAGCATTATATTTGTTAGCAGTGGAATGTATCTGAGTCATGTGGCACCACAGTATGTTACTGGCCATGAATCCTTATGGGCTTGCAGCAACCTCAATTCCTGCCTCCTCAGAAGAAACAATTCCACCTAAGGGCACAAGGCAAAAGTAGAGAAGGCAAGTTTTAGAGCAAGAGTGAAAGTTTATTTAAAAACTTTACAGCAGGAATGAAAGGAAGTAAATTCCCCTCAGAAGAGGGCCAAGTGGGCAACTTGAGAGATCAAGTGGGCAATTTGACCTTTTGGCTTGTGTTTCTTAATATAGTATTATTATTATCTTTTTTGGCTGGGCATGGTGGCTTAAGCCTTTAATCCCAGCACTTTGGGAGGCCGAGGTGGGCGGATCACCTGAGGTCAGGAGTTCGAGACCAGCCTGACCAACATGGAGAAACCCCATCTCTACTAAAAATACAAAAAATTGGCCGGAAGTGGTGGCACATCCCTGTAATCCCAGCTACTCGGGAGGCTGAGGCAGGAGAATTGCTTGAACCTGGGAGGCAGAGGTTGTGGTGAGCTGAGATGATGCCATTGCACTCCAGCCTGGGCAACAAGAGCAAAACTCTGCCTCAAAAAAAAAAAAAAAAAAAAAAAAAAAATATATATATATATATATATATATAAAATTATTATTATTTGAGACAAGGTATCGCTCTGTCACCCAGGCTGGAGTGCAGTGGTGCAATCTCAGCTCACTGCAACCTCCACCTCCTTGGGTTCAAGTGATTCTCGTGTCTCAGTCTCCCGAGTAGCTGGGATTACAGGCGTATGACACCACAGCCAGCTAATTTTTGTATTTTTGGTAGAGACGGGGTTTTACCATGTTGACCAGGATATCTCAAACTCCTGATCTCAAGGGATCCATCTGCTGTGGCCTTGCAAAGTGCTGAGAATACAGGTATGAGCTACTGTGCCCGGCCTGGCTTGGGGTTTTATCTGTTGGCATGCTTCTGGGGTCTTGCATTCCTTCTCCACTGACTCTTCCTTTGGAGTGGGTTTTCATATGCTCAGTGACCCGCCAGCACTTGGGAGGGGCCGCGTGCACAGTGTGTTTACTAGAGTTGTATGAATGCTCACTTGACACATTCTTTCTGTACCAGTTGAATCTCCCTAGAAGGTCACATACCAGTTAAACTCTGCTGTTTTTCCTCTTAATGTACATGCTTGAGCCCATTTGCGCAACTCCTGAGATCTTATCAGGAAGTTGTTGATCAAAAGTTTTTAGGTTTTTTTCTATCTATCTACTGGGGGACTGCTCCGTGTTGTTAGCTGTGACCAATTATCATTTTGGAGGAATCATGTAACAACCACTTGATGATCACCTGATGGTCTCCTGACATTCCTGGTGGGTGGTGATGGTGATGGGGTCTCCTACCCTGCTGAGGTCTGTCTGACTACCTACTGTAACATATTGATACAGTTTGTCTCTGTGTCCCCATCCAAATCTCATCTTGACTTTTACTCCCATAATTCCCACATATTGTGGGAGGGACCTCATAGGAGATCATTGAATCATGGGGGGTGGCTTCCCTCATGCAGTCCTTGTGGTAGTGAATAGGTCTCATGAAATCTGATGGCTTTATAAGGGGTTTCTGCTTTTGCTTCTCTCTCTTTGCCTGCCACCTTCCATGTAAGATGTTAATTGCTCCTCCTTGCCTTCTGCCATGATTGTGAGGCCTCCCCATCCATGTGGAACTGTGAGTCCATTAAACTTGTTTATTTTGTAAATTGCTCCGTTTCACATATGTCTTTACCAGCAGCGTGAAAATGGTCTAATACACATATCTAATGCAGGTACATGAATTTTCTTACCTAGATTTGCTAATAAAATAAGCTTATATATTACAAAACTTCTTAGTGAGAAGAATGATTTTGCATGATGGCTGTTTAATGTTTTGTCTTTTTTTAATGCAATTCAGGCATAATTATTAAGAGTTAACGAAGTAAGTAGATGTAATTAAGAGAAAATTTCCATGTGGAAGATGTTTTTTTCTAAAAAGAAGGTTTTTAACATTGTTATCACCAAGAATGGAAAGTTAAGACTGAGGTCAATTTATATAAACAACAATTTAGTTCTTTAGCGTAGCCAATGAAACCTAAGAAGATAAAAGTATTTTTGCCTCCTCCACAGATTTTATTACAGATAGACTAAAAATACTTTGGAGGGTTATTAAAAATACTTGAGAAATTATGACTGATACATTTGCCAATCTACAGATTTCTGCTGTGACAGTTCACAATTGTGTGCTTCTTGGAATTCACTGAAAATTAAGGTTGATATAAGTTAAGAATTGTAATTAATGTGTGTAACTAAAATTAATAGAAATAATAAGAAAGAAAAAGTCTGTATGCAAGTACACAGGAAAGGTAAAACGTGCCTTTGATAAAGAAAGGCTAAGTTGCAAGGATATTTTTCGTTTCATCGAGAGGAAAAGAAGACAAATTTGTAACCTAAAGTAGAATGACTGAATTGTTTCAGAATGGGAAGAGAAGTATAGAACAAAACTGAATGGATAAGAAAGTTGTAGAAAGTTTATGGAAGATGAGTCTTGTAAAAACGACTTTATATGTGATCACCCTGGCTAAGATTGGAGGTTTATAAATTTTCCTAAGAAATTGAACATTAATATCAAAAATACACTGATGATGAAAATTTTGGAAATACGATCATACCATTAGACCAGGTAAGAATTCCCAGAACTCTACTGAATAAACTGTTTGTGTCTCTAAAACTGCTAACCACAACATCAGGCAGAGTAAAAATTAACTGAATACCAAGAAAATGCCTTGGCAGATTTTTATGCCAAGTCAGCTAGCACTGAAATGTTTGGAATATACAGTTCAAATGAACTTCATAAGATTTGTCCAAGTCAATTTCCTGATGCTGATATTTAATAAACTGTGCAATGCAATGAATTCAGTAAAGCAGAGTTAGCATCTGAAAGGATGTAAATTCAATGTTGCCCATGGAATCACAAAGGGCCTGCTCAGCCTGGTTCCCCTGAGATTTTGAAGCTTCCCCTGTTAAAAGCCTTGCACCCCAGAACTCATCATGGGATAGGCAAGATGATCCAAATTATGAAAAAGATGACCAAAAGGGGGAGACTGATAAACTGATTTCAGTTTGGCTCAAAGTAGTCTCTGTACTTGCCCAATAAAATTTGACCAAAGTGGCCTCCATAAATAGCGAACTGCAATGTAGCTTGATGTGCAAGCAAATTGTAATCTAACCTGACAGTATACCTACAAACCAAGCAACTGAGATTCAGCCAATTATAGTAGCTGAACCTTCAGCTACTATCAGGCTGAAGGCTGCCAAATTATGTCCAAATGAGGCAAATGCCAAACTGCACCGATTAAGTAATCTTTGTACATCATTTCTTATTTTTCTTGTTATAAATACAACTCACCATGTTGTAGGTGAGAATCATTTTCAACCATCTTTGGTCTGGAATGCTGCCCAGTTCTAAAACCTTTTTCTTGTTCAAATAAACTTTGTTAAATTTAACTGGTCTCAATGTTTTTTATTTTTTAATACATTATATAAATTTCAATATCTAGAAACCTTATGGTGCTGTGACCCTAGGATTCACAACAACATAATGAATGGCACTATAAATTTTATATAGTTTGGGCAAACAAAAAGTTTGCTGATTCATATTGCATTATTCTCACAAAACAGTCTGTTTCGGCGTTTGCAACAATCTATTCATTAAAAAAAGTCATGGCTTTTATTAGATGATATGATCACTTATCTTTTTTTTTTTTTTTTGCCACAGCAGAGCATAAACTCTCACAAAAATAACATACGTTTGGCTAAACTTTGTGTAAACCAAAACGTAACGTCATAGCCATCCAAAGTATCTGCTAATTAGCAGCAGTACATTGCTCTTTGATCGTTCTGAACATTTCAAAAACGCTACCTCACATTTGGGTGTTGCACTTAGTCCTCTAATCTTGAAATGGTTCTGCTAACCTGGTATTAACAGGAGCCTCATGACATTGCCTCTTTAGTGGTATGTAACGGTGAAAAGGAGGCCTAGCAAAACTAATTCCATTTTGCTCCTAACATCATCCCCCTGCCATGAAAACTTTTAGGTTAACTGCTTTTGTTTATCTTTGCACTTAAGCCAAGCTAGCTATAGGGATAATTTAGTTGATAGTTTAACTTTAAAACAAGGATGATAATAGTCCCTTGCCAAAACTAACCCCTGAGAACTAAGGAGGCTGTACACACTAACGACAATGTTACAAGCTTATAAGAGCATTGTGACCTGGCCAAGGAAAAGGAATTTTTCCCTCAGTGCTGCCCAGATGTCTGTGGTCACTATTCACTTTTTGAGCTTCACTCCTTCAGTCTTCCCTGTTTCCCTAACATAAAAGGAGCCCCAAATTCATAATAGCTTAAGATGGTTATTTAGGACACTACTCCATCACCATATTGGTGTGCTGGCTCTCTAAAACAAATTTGCTTTCCCTGCTCCAACTCCTGTGTCTCGACTTCCTGGCTGTCTTGTGGTAAGCAGCGGGAGCTTTGGACTGGGTTACAGTAACAGACAGCACTGCCTGTCTTCCAGAAAGAGTCTTTGTCCTACTTTGCAACAACTGTGGGTTTAAACCTTTCGTAAATTTTTTATTGTCCACTGAGGTTAAGCAATTAAATTTAATAGCATTTTAAACAAATATTTTGAGATGATTAGAATAAATAAAATCTGATAATATTTGTTTCTTACTTTGGGTTAAATGTGCTATTTAAAAATGGTATGATACAGGACCTCTAACCACAATGATTAAAAATCAGGATTCTAAAAATCAATTGTTTAATGTAAAGTGTTTTGCTTATGCATTTCCTACATACACTTTATTAATTTTTTTCCAAAAACTCAATTTAACTAAAATATTTGAACACTATCTGCAAACATTACTTTATAGAAGCTAGGTTGTTTTTATAATTTCCTATTTAAAAAAGCCCTCCACCCCACCTATACACAGCATAAAACAACTCTGAGAACAATCGAAATAGGAGGATAAAATGTGCTATAGCTGGAAGTTTGTAGATCTTGTGTATTGTGGGAATGGCAACATCCTATTGTTTGAAAGCAAGAATCTATTAACAGGCAGAAAGGAAACTACAGCTATGAAATATATTTGATGAGAAAGTTCTACTTACTGTTTGTGCCTCTTGCAATTGCTATAAAAGAGACAGAATTCTCATCAATGTAGAAAGCTTACTACACAATCAACAAGACACTTTCACTGAATCCAGGCCTTCTCTCTGATTATAACCACACTCTCCAGATATAGACATTGATATAGATATGTTTTGATACAATGATGTTTGGAGTTTGAATATTGCGGAGATATTTTGGCTCCAAATTCATAGGAGTAGAAATACCTTACATGGAGAATGATTCAGAGATAGATGTATAATCTTAGGCCTTAAGCTCATGTTTTTCTTTAAGCCGTTAGTTAATGGCAGACTAAGAGACATTTCTCACCTTGGCATGCATGCAACCCTTGAGTGTCTTCTCCCTTGATAAGCAAAAGCCTGTGATTGCATATTGAATTCAATATAGTACTCATTTTCTTATAGAGGACTGCCTCTACTTTTAACTTCCCTTTCTCTTACTCTTTTATCTTTCACAGTGGTTAAGAGAAGATGAAAATGGATTATGCTAAATGAGGTCAAACCTGAAGCCAAAATATCATTGATTTGTTACTTTCCTAGACAAATGCTTGTCTCAGCCTCTGCCAGCACTCTCTGTAGTAAGATTTTTCACCATAATATGAATGCAAAAATCTTTTCACTCACTGGAAGTGAAAAGTTGTTTTTGTTTGACATATTATTTTATATTAAGTATACCTCGAACTCAGTACTAAGGTATTCATACCAAAATAATCTGCCAAAATTCACGGGAGTACCGTATTATGTGAGAGTCCAGGAGCTGAAAAAACTGATCTTCTTTAATCATGGCATCATGTTAAAGAGTTTTATTTGTTTATTTCATTTTATTATCCTTGGGTATCAGACATTGTTGCAGAAGTTCAGTATGGTACAGTCACCAGGATCAAATGTCTTTCATCTTTGGGTGGAAGAACGAATCTCACAAAATATCCATGATTTCTGGTTAGTCATTTTATAAATTCATATGGTCTCAACATGTCCAGTGGTCTATCAAGACTCACCAACATTGAGGCAAAAGCAGTCACACAGTATGCACTCCTTCCTCCTCAGGATAGCATTCAGTTATTTTTAACAACTCATTTTAGAATGCCCAAAGACGATGTTGTTAAATCTTATATAAGAGTAGAATCTAAGAAGAAATCTTAATTTATTTAATAAAAGGGGTATCAAGAAATCTATATAGTTAGGTAAAATTATGTTATCTTTTTAAATACAGAAGATAGATATGCTAAAAACTATAACCAAAAATTTAAAAAACTTTGTGTTGATATTTAGGATTAATAATGTGAATCAGGGTTAAGAATAATTTATTTTCAATTTTCTCATTGCCTGGAGTCTGTAAATACTTATTTAAATAAAAATAAGTTTTCTAGTGTTGGATTTTTAGTACAGTAAGAAGCAAATACCATAAGGAAAGTGACAAGAATGTTAACTCTACCATAAATCTGGGTCAACCAAGGTATAAACCACTGTAGGGGAAAACCTTTACAAAATAAGTGTAAAGGCTCAAGGAGAACAAATCCCAAGGGTTAGTTCTCACTAGGAAGAATAAAAAAATTTTGCTGGGTTCTGGGAAGTTCAATTATAGGAACAGACAACAAGAGGTTTTCAGCCAATTTGAAACTAATTCAGTATATTATGGTGGAAAAAGGCAGTGGCACAGATAACATCAGCTTGAAACTGAAAGTTGTTGCCTTAAGAGAGACACTAACAAATGGGCTTTATGGTTTGAGCTCCAAGGAAAGAAGGAGGATAGTCAGAAAGAGAGAAACAAAAAAAAGGGACAAAATAATATTCTATTATGCTCATGCTTGACAGCGAATACTGTAAGTTGTGGTTACTCAGATAATAAAATGAATATTTGATGTAACTTTTTTGTTAGTATAACACAGGAAAAAGTAAATCAGTGGCACAAAAAGCATTACAGGAATCATGAAAAAAGAATAAAGATCAATGAAATAAGAAGATAGGTATTCTAAAATAATGAATCGGAGATCTGCTAATTTGTATCATGCCACTTTCTCATTCATCTGTGTCTACATTCAAATACCATGCTTGTTTCTATTCTACCTTTCCTGTAACTAACACTGCCCCAGATTTGTGATTGCAGACATCAACTCCAAAGCAATATATAAGAAAAATAATAATAATTTTTAAATATGCCTAAAAAGGCATATTTAAAACATTATATCACATTGATATTTCAAAAACATAATGGATTGAGGTAGAAAAATTGTGAGATTTTTACATTTGCAATATCATACTCAGCTTCAAATTTCACCTATTCAAATCTGATTTAAAAGTAACATCAATATTATGACTGAAAAATAACCGTTTTTTATTCTGTTAGGTTGAATAATACACTTTTTTGACCAAAAAGAAGTCAATTTCATAATATTCATCCTAGTATATTTCAGTTATTCTGTTCTACATGATAATATTAGTAACATAACACATTTTCTGATCTTTTTATTTCTGAGTGGTTTCAATGTGTTCTTAAGTTACAAGTTTTCTAGTATGTATGGACATTTCTAACGGCTAGAAAAATCTGGGAAACTTTGTGAGATAGACATATGCAAATTGATAAATCTAGGCCTTCATCTAAAACAACATTACGGGAAATATTCATGAACATTAAAAATATTAAAAGTCTTCACTTTTTCAAAGAAATAAAAAATATGCTGAGAAATACCAGTATTCATATAGATATTTTATATGGTCTAGTTGTGTCCCCACCCAAATCTCATCTTGAATTCCCGTGTGTTGTGAAAAGGACCTGGTGGGAGGTAATTGAATCATGGGGGCAAGTCTTTCCCATGCTGCTCTAGTGATAGTGAATAAGTCTCATGGGATCTGATGGTTTTCCAAGGGGGAGTTTCCCTGCACAAGCTCTCTTCTCTTGTCTGCTACCATGTGAGATGTGCTTTTCACCTTCCGCCATGATTGGGAGGCTTCCCCAGCCACATGGAACTGTAAGTCCACTAAACCTCTTTCTTTTGTAAATTGCCCAGTCTCAGGTATGTCTTTATCAGCAGTGTGAAAATGGACTTATACAATATTACTATAATGCAACACTTTTATATACAAATACTTTAGATATTCACATTCAACATTGCATTAGTCTGCTTGAGCTACCATAACAAAATGCCATAGAGTAGGTGGCTTAAACAACAGAAATCTTCCCACATTTCTAGAGGCTAGGTCCAATATCAAGGTGCCTTTGGTTGGTTTCTAATGGGCTGCCTTCCTTCATGGTAGATGGCTACCTTTGGATTATGTCTTGATATGGCCTCAGTATTAGTCCATTCTTGCACTACTGTAAAGAAATATTTGAGACTGGGTAATATAAAAGCAAAAGATATTTAATTGGCTCATGGTTTTGCAGGATGTACAGGAGGCATGCTATCAGAAAGTTTCCTAAAGAAGGCCTCAGGAAACTGACAATCATGGCGGAAGGCAAAGAGGGAGACAGCACTTCACATGGCTGGAGCAGGAGCAAGAGAGAAAGAGAGTGGGGAGGTCCCATACACTTTTAAACAACCAGGTCTTCTGAGTACTCTATCATGAGACAGTACTAAGGGGATGATGCTAAACCATTAGAAACCACCCTCCTGATCCACTCACCTTCCACCAGGCCCCACCTTCCACTTTGGGGATTGCAACTCAACATGAGATTTAGGTGGGACACAAACCCAAACCATATCAACATCTTCTGTGTTTGTTTGGAGAGACAGCATTCCTTGGTGTCTCTTCCTCTTCTTATGAGGACAACAGTCCTATGGGATGAGGCCCTTATAATCTCACTTAACCTTATTACCTGCTTATAGACCCTGTTTACAAATACAAAACATTGGGCTTCAGCATATGAATTTTTGGAAAACACAATTTGGCCAATAACAAACATAATTTTTTTTTGTTTGTTTAATACATTGTTTTGTATTGTTTACAACTATATTGTTTGTTTATTGATTGTTTAATACTATATTGATTGTTTAATACAAATGGCTTCTGTTGACTTCTCAGTCTACATCTTTTGATGAAACAAGCTGCCATGTTGAAGAGATACACATGTCAAAAAACTGAATGTGGCCTATCAATAACATCTGGTGACACGTTGATGTGACAGTCTGAGAGCATATGGAGAACTGAATCCTATCAAGAGCCAAGTGAGCTTGAAAGCTAACCTTCCCAAGTTGATCCTTGAGATGTTTGATCTATGAAAAAAGGGGTATCCTTAATTGAAGTAAATTTTTCTAAATTATAAAGTAAGCAAAATTATATTCATCAGTGTGAGCACAGAAAAATCAGTTCAGTTTTCATTATTCTGTCTTCTAGAAAGGCCAGGGAAAAGTAACCTTCTTCATTATGTGAGTTATCCTTCTTTATATACTGTATTAGACATTGATTACAGATCACAAAATTTCAGATCATGAGACACTTTAGAGTAGAAACCCTTTTATATTTAACCCCTGCCACTCCCTAGTGCAATAATCACATTAGTTATTGGCAAATACCTGTTGAAACAGCATAATAATGAATGTTTCCAGTGTCCATATTAATAGTTGGCCTTGATTTTTCACCTTTATGAGATAAAATATCAGAAAGCCATATTTTTAGGAGTTGCCACTGCTATAGGATACAGAAAGTGACAGGGAAATATTGGTCCTTTATTAGGAATGATAAACTCTAGATTTTATACAATATCATATATATGTATTGAAGCCACCATCAAATTGAGGTCACAGGAAAGCAAGTAAACTGAATTCCAAGTGACAAATCCCTCAGAGGAGAGATGGGACATATAAGCTGCTTTATCTTTGTCATAAAAAGAAGAAGAAAAGCCATTAAAAATAAATCAGCTTAATTAAGCGTCCAGATGACCAAATGTATTAAGTTAGATCAATGGTTCTCAACCCAGGGTAATTTTACTCTTCAGGTTCCATTCACAATGTCTGAATACATTTTTAGTTTTCACAACTAGGGATGAGGAATATGTAGGAAAAACTCTCTTTAACTGCATTTTCTTATACTCTTTCATTGCAACATTCATCAACATAGAAGACTTCTGTGACCATATGTGTGTTTTTCTTTTCCACACCCCATGCAGTAGATACCAAATGGGTATCCTCCAATTCAGTTCCAACACTATCTACCCAGAGATAGTGTCATATCCCACAGGTTGAGGGCTCAGTCCCAAAAGCTGCCCTCCCACCCCACCAGTCACAAGTCTAGTCCTCTGAAACTACTGACCAACTGGCTTCATGATGGGGTTCCCATCATCCCCTCTTTGGGTTCAATTAATTTTCTGGAGTGGCTTACAGCAACATTTAATGTTTACCAATTTATTATAAAGGATACAGATGAAGAGATATATATGTGGGAAGAGGCGCTAAGCTTCCACACCCTCCCCAGGCAGGCCACCCACCAGGAACTTCCACATGTTCAGCTATCCAGAAGCTCTCTGAATCCTTCTTTGGTTGTTGTGGAAGCTTCATGGTGTCATCATTCCTTCCCCCACAGTATAGGGTGGTAGATTCTCAATGGAGGGTCTTAAGACCAGCAATTAGAAAGGCAGGGTAACATTAAAGTCTTGCCTTGGGGCAGATGAATGTCAGAGGAGGGTCGGAGAAGGTCACAGGAGGGCAGAACAAGGTCAGAGGCCCATTCTGAGGCTAACACACCCAACATTATAGCAAAAGACTGGTATATATAGCAAAAGGGCTTTGGTAGTTATAAGCCAGAAACCATAGATGAAAATCAATATATATCATAACACCACAGAAATATCATCCCCACTGATCTAGACCTGTGTATTATCACCTTTCTGCCTTGAGTGAGAGTGAGATCTGTGTTTGTTTCTAGCAAACAGTGTGGCAAGGGAAATGGGATTTCACTTTCTTGACAATGTTTCATTACATAAGTCTCCATATTAACCAAGTGTATTAGTCCATTTCACACTGCTTTTAAGAAATAACCAAGACTGGGTAATTTATGAAGGAAATAAGTTTAATTGTCTTACAGTTCAGCATGTCTGGGGAGGCCTCAGGAAACTTACAATCATGGTGGAAAGTGAAGGGGAGCAAGCTTGTATCTTCTCACATGACAGCAACAGACAGAAGCGTGTGAAGCAAAGTGGAAGAACCCCTTATAAAACCATCAGATCTCATGAAAACTCACTCAATACCATGAGAAGAGCATGGGGAAAACTGTCCCCATGATCCAGTCACCTCCCACCAGTTCTCTTCCCAGACACATAGGGATTATTTGGATTACAATTCAAGTAGAGATTTGAGTGGGGACACAAATCCAAACCATATCATTCCACCCCAACCCCACCCAAGTCTCACATCCTCACATTTCAAAACACAATCGTGCCTTCCCAACAGTCCCCCAAAGTCTTAACTCATTCCAGCATTAACTCAAATGTCCACAGTTCAAAGTCTTATCTGAGACAAGGCAAATCCCTTCCAGCTATGAACCAGTAAAATAAAAAAAAAGTTACTTCCTTCCAAGATGCAATTGAAGTACAGACATTGGGTAAATACACCTGTTCCAACTGTCAGAGATTGGCCAGAACAAAGTGGCTACAGGCCCCATGCAAGTCTAAAATTCAGTAGGGCAGTTATTAAATCTTGAAACTCTGAAATTATCTTCTTTGATTCCATATCTCACATCCAGGTCATGCTGAAGCAAGAGGTGGGCTCACATGATCATAAGCAGCTTTGCTCCTGTGGCTTTGCAGGGTACAGCTACCCTCCCGGCTGCTTTCAATGGCTGGCATTGAGTGTCTGTGCCTTTTCTACCTGCATGGTGTATTCTGGGGTCTGGAGGATGGTGGTCCTCTTTTCACAGCTCCATTAAGCAGTGCTCCAGTGGGAATTCTGTGTGGGGGCTCCAACCCCACATTTCCCTCTATGCTGCCCTAGCAGAGGTTCCCCATGAGGGCTCTGCTCCTGAAGCAAACTTCTGCCTGCCAAACATTTCCATACCTCCTCTGAAATGTAGGCAGAGGATCCCAAAACTCAATTCTTGACTTCTGTGCACTTGCAGGATCAACACCACATGGAAGCCACCAAATCTTGGGGCATTCACCCCCTAAAGCCAAAGCTCAGGCTGTATCTTGGTCCCTTTTAGCCACAGCTGAAGCTGAAATGGCTGGGTTGCAGGGCACTGAGCAGTGGGGGCCCTGGGCCATGTCCACAAAACCATTTTTTTTCCTAGGCCTCTGAGCCTATGATGGGAGGGGCTGGGATGAATGTATCTGACATGCCTTGGAGACATTTTCCCCATTGTCTTGGTGATTAACATTCTAGTCCCAGTCACTTATGCAAATTTCTAGAGCTGGCTTGAATTTCTCCCAAGAAAATTGGTTTTTCTTTTCTATCACATCATCAGGCTGCACATTTTCCAAACTTTTATGCTCTGCTCCCCTTTTAAGCGTAAGTTCCAATTTTAAACCATCTCTTTGTGAATGCATAAAACTGAAAGCTTTTAAGAGCACCCAGGTCAATTTTTGAAGGCTTTGCTGCTTATAAATTTATTTCACCAGATTATCTAAATCATCTCTATCAAGTTCAAAGTTTCACACATCTCTAGGGCAGGGGCAAAATGCCACCATCTCTTTGCTAAATCACAGCAAGAGTGACCTTTGCTCCAGTTCCAAATTAGTTCCTCATCTCCATCTGAGACCACTTCAACCTGGCCTTCATCGTCCATATCACTATCAGCATTTTGCATAAAACCATTCAACATGTCTCAAAGGAAGTTTTAAACTTTCCCAAATCTTCCTGTTTTCTTCTGAACTTTTCAAATTGTTCCAACCTCTGCCTGTCACGCAGTTGCAAAGTATCTACCACATTTCCAAGTATCTTTATAGCAGTGCCCTACTCTCCGTAGTATCAGTTTACTGCATTAGTCCACTTTTACACTGTTAGAAAGAAATAACCAAGACTGGGTAATGTATACAGGAAAGAGGTTTAATTGAATCACAGTGCCGCATAGCTGAGGAGGCCTCAGGAAAGTTACAATCATGACAGAAGATGAAGGGGAAGCAAGTTTAGACCTTCTCAAATGGCAGCAGCAGAGAAAAGTGCATGGAATGAGGTGGTGAAGAGCTCCTTATAAAACCATCAGATCTCCTGAGAACTCACTCAACAGCATGGGGGAAACTACCCCCATGATCAAATTACCCCTCACCAGATCTCTCCCCAGATACATAGGGATTGTGGGGATTACAATTTGAGATGACCTTTGGGTGGGGATGCAAGTCAAAACCATATCACCAAGGGAGTGAGTGTCTCTCTTTCTTGCTTGCCTTCCAGAGGCAAACTGCTATGATATGAACAGCACACAGAGAGAACTGCATGGCAAGGAATTATGAGCAGTTTATAGAGTTGAGGGTCTCTGGTCCATAACTGCTAGGAACTGCATTCTGTCAATAACTATGTGAACTTGAAAGAGGATCCTGAGCTCCAGATGAGAACCTAGCCTCTCCAACACTTTGACTGTAGTCTTATAAGCCATGAGCAGAGGACTCAATCGATCCATGCCCAGACTTCTCACCTACAGAAACTGTGATATAATAAATATGTGTGTGTGTGTGTGTGTGTGTGTGTGTGTGTGTGTGTGTGTGTAAGGCCCTATATTTGTGGTAATTTGTTATCTAGGAATAGATAACCAATTAAAAGTACTCCTGGCATCTAGTAGGTAGAGATCAGGGATTGTGTTAAATATGCTAAAATGTTCAGGACAGCACCCCACAATAAAAGATTTATCTAGCTCAACATGTTAATAGGGCCAATGTTTTAAAAATGTGACTCAAGATAGGGGACCAAAGAGAATTCCACTCTCTCAGCCCTAACTTTGCCTTGGAGATGTACCATGTTGGAGGTGATGAGGGGCAACTATAGAATAGCAAACCACCACCTGTTCCCCTGTACTTTTCTTACATATGAATCAAAAAATTTGAGCTGGCAGGGAATGGGCAGCAAACCCTCCCTCCTCTCCATTTGTGAAACACACACTGCTTTAGGGAAAGAGGTAGAAACAAAAATATATTTGCTACTGTGGGAGGTGTGGAAACCCCTCTTTCCCTCCAAGGACTCAGACAAAGATCTACTACTTGCAGGAGAAGCTTCAAATGAGAGAAAGAGACAACATCATGAGCTCAAGATTCTGCACCATATCAAAGGAGAAGACTTGCACCATTGGGGTAAGGGTAAAAAAGAAGATCTCTTTCTGTCCCAAACCACCATAGATAGCATGCAAAATTTGACTGCCAAGAGGAAGAAAGATATAAATGCTGAGAAGGCACCATCCACAAGGCCCAAGTTCACAGGACCTGCCTAAGATTCAGGTCACCCTCCAAAGATGTCCTTATCCTGATTCTCAGAAACTGTGACTATGTCACCTTACTGGCAAAAGAAATTTTGCAGATGTAATTCCTTGAGATAGGCAGGTTATTCTGGATTACCCAAGAACCCAATGTAATCACAATAATCCCCCTAGAAGGCAGGCAAGAGAGTCAAAGGCAGAGAAGGCCGTGTGATGATAGAAGCTGAGCCAGTGAAGGGAATGTGTCAATGCTATGCTACTGCTTTTGAAAATAGTGGAAGGAGCTGTAGCCAAGGAATATAGGTGGCCTTCAGAAACTGGAAAGGCTAGAAAATGAATTTTCTCCTAGAGCAACAGTCCCTAACCCCTCGGCCATGGACAAATACAAATCCGTGACCTGTAAAGGGGCTGGTTGCACAGCAGGAGGTGAGCCACAAGTGAGTGAGCAAAGCCTAGCTCCGCCTCTTGTCAGATCAGCCATACATTAGATTCTCATAGGAGCACGAACCCTACTGTGAACTCCTCTGTGCCAGGGATTTAGTTTGAGCTCCTTATGAGAATAGAGTAATACCTGATCTGTCACTGTCTCCCATCATCCCCAGATGAGACCGTCTAGTTGTAGGAAAACAAGCTCAGGGCTCCCCCTTATTCAACATTATGGTGAGTATTTAAAAATAATAGAAATAAAGTGCACAAGAAATGCAGTGTGCTTGAATCATCCTGAAACCATATCCCCACCCCCAGCAGTTCATAGAAGGGTTGTCTTCCAAGAAACCAGTCCCGGGTGCCAAAAAGTTTGGAGACCACTGCCCTAGTGTTACGTGGGGGTCCTTGTTCTTAGAGCTCCCAAGAGGATGGCGGGTGGTTTCCAAGATGGCGGCAAGCCTCTTGCTCTTTGACCTGGGATTCTTGGCCTCACAGATTCCAAGGAATGGAATCTTGGGCCACTCGGTGGGTGTTACAGCTCTATTCAGCTCAATCAGGACAAACCCCAGGCACTTAGCCCACACAGGAACAATGGCGAGCCTCTTGCCCAATTGGGAGTGGCAATGGGCGCCGCCTGGCTGGATCAGAAGTGCAGTGGACCCCCTGTCAGATCCGGAGGGGTGGAAGTCAGCGGCGGCATCTGCGACGACGGCAATCAGCAGTGGTGGACAACCAGCGAAAGTTCAGTTCCAACTGGAACAAACACGGACCAGAGAGTGTGCAGTTGCAATATTTAATAGAGTGAAAACAGAGCTCCCATACAACAGGAGGGGACCCAAAGGGGATTGCCAGTTGCCTGCTGGAATGCCTGAATTTACATCCTGATCATTGTCCCTCCCTCTGTGCTCTCAGGCGATAGATGATTAGCTATTTATGTACCTCCTGTTTTTGCCTAATTAGGATGTCAGTGAGCTTTCTTTACTACCTGATTGGTTGGTTGTGAGCTAAGTTGCAAGCCCTGTGTTTAAAGGTGGATGTGGTCACCTTCCCAGCTAGGCTTAGGGATTCTTAGTCGGCCTAGGAGATCCAGCTAGTCCTGTCTCTCACTAGGGGCTCCAAAAATGACTAGGTCCTGCTGACACCACGACTTTAGTCTCCGTGAGACTAATTATGGGGTTTGAAAATAGAGAACTGTAAAATAACAAATGTGTATTAAGTTATTACTTTTGTGATAATTTGTTATAGTAGCAGTAGGAAACTAACAGAAGGTTGAACCAGAAGAAACAAAGCACCACGGATGTCCCATCATGAGACCAGTACTGAGCAATCAGCCTTAACAACTTACCAAAAAAGAGGGAAGAGAGCAAGAGCAGGGGTTTCTGGGAGGGCTGAGGGCTAACATTCTACAAGGAAGACTGAATACAGTGCCCCAGCACCCCAGATACCACATTTAGTATAAGTAACAATGGGAAGCTGATGGAATATTAAGATTATTAAGATTTCTACATCCTTGGATGTCTAAACACCTTTTACTATATCCCTTATCTAGGAGTATAACTGTTAGTTTACAGTTCTTCTCAGCTAAACCATAGGTATTCTAGATATTCTAAATTTCAGAGCATTAGATAATCATCATGCACTGTTTTTTAAATTTTTGAGACAGGGTCTTACTCTGTCACCCAGGCAGGAGTGTAGTGGTGTGATCACTGCTCACTGCAGCCTCCACCTTCAGGGCTTAAGTGGTCTTTCCGCCTCAGCCCCCCGAGTATCTGGGACTACAAGTGACTGCCACAATGCTTGGCTATTTTTTTTTTTTTTTTTTGATAGAGACTCAGTCTCACTGTATTTCCCAGGGTAGTCTTAAATTCCTGGGTTCAAGTTATCCTTTCTGGCTTCATCTTCCCAAATCGTTGGAATTACAGGTAGAAGCCACTGTGCCCAGCCAATTATGCACTTTCCATAATACACTTTCCATAATATATTTCTTCTCTTTGGTGCTTTTAAGACATATTCATTTGTAACACACACACACACACACACACACACACACACAAACACACGTATATTTAATCAAACTTACCCTGAGGGTTCCACTCCCTTACAAGGGTTGCAAAGGCTACAAAAGCTTTAAGCGCCTCAGAACTCCACCAGGCGCGGTGGCTGACACATGTAATCCCAGCACTTTGGAAGGCCGGAGGTGGGTGGATCACTTGAGGTCAGGAGTTCGAGACCAGCCTGCCCCAAATGGTGAGACCTCGTCTGTGCTAAAAATACAAAAATGAGCCAGGCATTGTGGTGGGTGCCTGTAATCCCAGCTACTTGGGAGGTTGAGTCAGGAGAATTGCTTGAAGCCAGGAGGCGGAGGTTGCTATGAGCCGAGATCAAGCCACGGCACTCCAGCCCGGGCAACAGAGCAAGACTCCCTCTAAAAAAAAAAAAAAAAGAGTGTCAGAACTCAATACTAACTAGAACAGCTCTGGAATCCATAGGTTCCCCTAATCATCACTCTCCTTCTAGGTTTGTAGCTACCCACAGGAAAAAAAATCTCTCATCTTTAAGACCCCAGAAAGTCCAAGGTGCCCTCTTTGCCTCCTGACCACAGTTACTGGTTGGTCCAGAGGAGATACAGTGGTTCTTCGAATTTAAGAAGTTTGGGCTGGGCGTGGTGGCTCACGCCACCCAAAGTATAATCCCAGCACTTTGGGAGGCCGAGGCAGGTGGATCATGAGGTCAGGAGATCGAGACCATCCTGGCTAACACGGTGAAACCCCCATCTCTACTAAAAATACAAAAAAAATTAACCGGGCGTGGTGGTGGGCGCCTGTAGTCCCAGCTTCTCGGGAGGCTGAGGTAGGAGAATCGCTTGATCCAGAGAGTTGGAGGTTGCAGTGAGCCGAGATCACACCACTGCACTCCAGCCTGGGCAACAGAGTGATACTCCGTCTCAAAAAAAAAAAAAAAAAAAAGGAGTTTGAATAGTGGAAATATAATCAGACCCCTATCTTTCCAGAATCTGCTCGCCATGCTGTTATTAATTTTAATTTGTTTTACTTATATAGTAATATACAAACTATTATGGATGTTTTATTTTTAGAAGAAGAAGTATATAAAGTTTAAACTGATGCTTTTATCCTCACCTCTTAAACTAAAGAGCTAATTAAAATGGCAGTAAAATAATAAGTTTTTCCAACAAAGTCAGAGAGGGGATGGCAGTAGGTAAAGTGGTTCAACAAATTTTTAGATAATGGAAAGCAGACAGTGGGGCCAGACCTGAATGAACATAGAGGAGCAAGTGGCAGCCTAAGTGCTCTAGAAAGAAATGCTCACATAACCAAGCCACAGGCAAATCACAAGCAATCCAGGAGCAAGCCAAGACTCCGCCAGAAGCAATCGCCCTTGGAAGCCTCAGGTCTTGGAGATTTATCTACAGTCTAGTGCCAAAAACAAGTGCATTCATAAAGCTTTCTTTTAGAAAATAATTATTCCTATAGTCATCTTCACATGAATCTCTCCTCTTTCTACCACATACTCTCCCAAACAAAAACAGTATTCAGAAGGTTTATACTCTGTATTTTTGTACTAAGAATGAGGCATTAAGTTCTGATTGAAAACTGTTTGTGTGGTTGTGGATGTGCATGTGAATATGAGTTGGAGGATTATTAACTAGCACACTTTAGCACAACTGTAGTAAAACTTTCTTTTTGGGGGGAGGAAGGGGAGTGGTATCCAACAATATGTCTTTGTGTTGATGTACATGTCAATTTCATTATGTCTTCTTTTTTCTGAGATAATTTCTTTCTGCAAGAGGATATTGTACCTACTATGTTCAGGCAGAATGGATTTGAAATTTAGGCTAGGGGAAAGTCAACCACTCTTCACACAGATCACAAAGCCAACCTTCATGCTATCCTCTTCTTCCATATCCAGTGACTCTTCATCCTTTGCTCTTTTTGAAATTGATACATAGTCACTCTATTAAAAAAATATATAAATATGTTTATATGTATTTAATATATAATATATTTAAATATGTAATTATATATTTATATATATTTTAAAGGAGCAAATATATACATAAATATATAATTAGACATAACAGAATTTGTATATTATATATTAATGTTTTTATATATGTATATTTTAATGGAGTGACTATGTATCAACTTCAAGAAGAGCAAAGGATGAAGAGTCAGTGGATATGGAAGGAGAGGATAGCATGAAGGTCAGCTTTGTGATCTGCGTTAAGAGTGGTTGACTTTTCCCTAGCCTAAATTTCAGACCCATTCAGACTGAATGCAGTAGGTAGAATCTCCTTTTGCAGAAAGAAATTATCTCAGAAAAAAGGCACAATGAAATTGACATGTACATAAGCACAAAGACATATTGTTGGATACCACTCCCCTTCATCCCCCCAATAAAGAAAAGGTTTACTACAGTTGTGCTAAAATATGCTAGTTAATAATCCTCCAACTCACATTCACATGCACATCCACAACCAAACAGTTTTTAATCAGAACTTAATGCCCCACTCTTACTAATGAGTGCACTGAATAATAAAGTTTCCATTTGAAGAAAAGTTCTGACATTAAAGTCAGAATGAAATGAATAAAATAAGTCAGAAGATACAGAATATATGTAAGCAAAATTAAACAGATTAAACAATATAAGAAATACTCTTTTTAGAGACATTAGAAGTACTTGCTTCCATGAAGCAAGAAAAATCTTGCTTTTGAAAGAAACAGCAGGAAACAAAGCATGCCCTGGAAATTAAAAATATAACATGAGAAATTGAAGGAGGAAAACAAAATTGGCATAACCTCCTAAAACAGTTGGTAACACAATTTTTTTTTCTTCTCTGGAGGACCAAATAGTAATATTTTAGCCTTTTCAGGCTATATGAAATCGCCTGTCGCTACTTAACCCTTTTAATGAAACACTTAAACAAATTAGAAGTCCTGCTCCAATAAAATTTTACAAAAGCAGGCAAAAGGCTGGATTTAGCCCGCGGTCGAAAGTTTGCTGACCCTGTCATAGAGAAAATATTTTTTTAAATATAGACAAAGTCAAAATTGAAAGTCAAACCATAAAGTCTTACGTATTACTAGAACTATTTCTAGAAAAAAATATTAGGAAAGAAACAAGAGATTACCAAACAAATGATAGACTTGATTATACTTAAAGCACACATGGATCAAGATTGGAAACAGACTCCAAAATGGCCTTGTGTAATATTATACATAATTTTTTTAAAAAACAGGAATGCATTAAATAAATATACCAAGATGTAAAATTATTTATAAGCTAAATTTAAATATTGCTTTTACAGAATATTATGTATACTCTACTAAGTATATATATGTGTATGTATATATATATATAGCACATGTATATCTGTGTGTATATACTTAGTTCTAATGCTTTGAATTTTTAAAAAAACTCATTTTTTCATATACATATTTTCATATTGAATTCTACTTTCTTATTTTGGTACATTCTTTTGATAATTTAGCTCCCATAATTTTTCTAACTTCTTTTGAAACTTCGTGTGTCAATATTGTTTTTCATATATCTCCTTAAACATTAAAACAACTTTTGGGGGTAGGAATGAATCTAGAATTTCTTTCTGTCTTTTTTTTTTTTAGATGTGGGATCTTGCTATATTGCCCAGTCTGGACTTGAACACCTGGGCTCAAGTGATCCTCCTGCCTTAGTCTCCTAGAAGCTAGGACTGCAGGAATGTGCCACCATGCCTGGCTCTCTATTCATTTAAACTGCATATTAATCTTTCACATATGCTGTAACTTACTCATATGTAATGACTTATATATATAATTACTACTTTCTTCATTTAGGCTTCTGATCTATCTGTTTATCTTTGCAAATTATTATTTATTTTGTATCGTGTTGTTTGATATGCATATTATGATTTCTCAGTAGGCTATTTAAAAATATTTAACAAACAAATATTAATTTAAGTCTGGATATGTTTAGTAAATGAAATATCTCTTTCTTGCTTTTCTTACTAAGATAAAATATTTTTTAGTGTTGAAACTATTTTTACATCAATTCTTATATTAAAATAATCTAGTTTTTAAAAAATTGTTTTATTATATTACATATTCAAACATAATCTTTTATAGTAGCTGTAAACTCTAGAGTAGTCAGATATTAGCAAGACAGAAATGTGACTGAGAGATGAAATTATCTTTTTAAAATGATAAGAAGTAAAACACTTAAAGTAAATGTTTATTTGCCTAAACAAATACTAATCTATGAATGCATTTTAAGCACCTATATATTACATAAATGTTAAATTACTATATATCTTTCATACTAACTATAAGTTTCAAACCTTGTTTTCAAAAGAAATATTTTTTTCAGGTGTTCTTTTCCTTAAGTTCATTGTTAGAATTTCATTGAGGCTTCAAGGGCACTAAATTATCTAGCAAAAAAAATCTCTTTGGGGAATCTCAACCTTTGAAGTCATTGTGATTTGTAACTTTATCTTGCTATTTTTCTCTATTTGTTTTATTTGTTTGGTTAATTTATATGGAAATTACTTTCATTTGCACTGTTTTCTCTATTGACATAATTTAGCTCAAATCTCCAATAGTACAGAAAAATGATAACTGAAGATTCAAGTATTAAAATGGCCTGCCCTTTATCACACAGCTGGTTCATATATGTATTTACATTTCTTGGCTGCCAGTGATCTTTATTCCCCAGGATCCTGCTACTTCAAGTATAATTTAGAATTTTAATTTTGTTATTATCATAAAATCATCTTAGTTGTTACAGTTTCTTCCTCCTAAAATACAATTTTTATGAACTTGAATCCATAGTAAGTACCTATGTAATTGCTATCTTCTTTCTAGTTAACCTGATACTCTCTGGAGTTACAGCACAATGCACATGACATCCATAAACTTCAGTGTTGCAACAATAGATGGAGAAAGTGAGCTTTAATTCAGTTGCAGCAGAATGGTACAGAAAGGTGGAATGATTTGCTTGTAATTTTATAATACAGGAAATCATTCTATAAGCACATTTTCCCATTAACACTTAAAAAAAACTATGTGGTTATTTATAGTAAGTGTTTAACAGAATCCTGCTGTGAGAACATGAACCATTGATATTATTTATATTAATTCTGGCTATTCATGCTGTCTTATAATTAGCTTCTACATGGTTTTAAGATTGTTTTCAATAATTGAACGGGAAGTTGGAGTTGATGGAGTCTTGTATGATAATCAAAAGGTTTTATCTATAATCAAAATTATAGGATAATGACATCATTGAGATAGTGATAAATATATCACAATTAAAAATACATAATGATAATTCTCATTAGAAAACAAATGTGCCCACTAAGATTTTTGAGAGATTACTTTATCTCCATTAAAATAACCTGGCATTTGAGTAGGAATGATTTTGTTTATTGTGGGGATTTAAATGATAAAATAGTCACTTGGGTTTTTGTTATTTACAATGTTAATAACTGTTAACAGTATAAACAATTTAATAAATCTCAGAATCCACAATGAATTGAATGATCAATTACGTCTATTATCACTTAATCAAGTCTGGTTTTTTGAATTATAGTTATTAACATGTAAGTGCTTTCAAGTTCTTTAACGGATTTGTTATTTTCAGAGGTATTAAAATTCTTAGAAGTCTCTTTAACCATGAAATAAAGTATCATTTAGAGTTTTTATATGAAGGGAGGTTTTCATTACATTTTGGGGAAGATACATCAAGTAATGCTGTACAATGGGTTGTGGATTTAATCATATTTGACTGAGGAAGTGCATTCTTTTTTGGGTGCAAGTCCTCCAGGAAACGGAATACTCTTTTGAATCTTGCATATGTGTGTATATTTAGAGAACTGACATCTTTCCTGTTATAACTTATCAAGCTTGTGCGCCTTTCTCCATAGGAGAAAAAACAAACAAACTCAAAAATCCGTAAATGCATATTAGCACAGCTGCAAAAATAACATTAAAATGGTGATTACTGTGCAGGGATAATTATATTTTCATAATTTGCTAATGGATGACAGCTATACCAATTTATATGGCTGAAGTCAAAATGATTAAGACTGGAAGTTGAATGAGATTAAAATTATTACACAAATATCTTAAATGGCGAGTTAACAACATTTTGGAAAAAATGTAGCCTAAAAATGATGATCTCATGAATTCATATTTAGGATCATATAAAATTATTTCATTAGGAAAATAAACATTCCGTTATGGTTAGGTAGACTCTTCTGTTTCTAATAACATATCAGAACTGTTTATTTAGGATTAGAGGATATATAGAGAGATGAAAAGAAGGAGAGAATTATCATCTGTGTAATACATATATGTAGATTATATAAAATATACACATATAAAACTTTATAAATGTTGTATGTATAGTTCAAACCGTCCCAGGACCAGGAGGCGAGATGTGGCCTTCATTCTCATTGTCCAATGTGATTGACAGAACCAATGATTAGAGCCTCATTTCAGGCAGTAGGATATATGAAGGAGCGGGTGGAGTGGAGAGGACTCCCTTTACCTTTTAAGAAGGCCTCCTAGAGGTCTGAACCATTTTAGTTTAGGCAAATATATGTCCACACACACACACACACACACAAACACATATACAAACATAGTTTCCTAACATCAGCACTATTAATATTTTGGTTTGGGTAAGTTTGATAGACAAATGTTGCACATATTTTTACACATTTTTAAAAAGAAAGAATGAATAAAATTTTAGTAGTGGTAAGGTTTACACAGTAGTATTACAGCCTTTTATTTCTTTAGGGCTTCTTTTTGTTCTCAAGGTTATTATTATTACTGACCATATATTACTGTTATAATAATTGAATATGTTAAGAATCTATGGATATATTTCAGTTTTCATATATATATGTGTATATATATATCCTTATAAGTAATGCTTAGATGTTTTTATTACTATTAAGGTGATATATTATGATAAATTTTATTTGGAACTAACCATTGTTTTATTATGATGGTACAAAATCAAAGCTTCAACTAATAAAGCCAAATTAAAAGCATTATATGACAAGAATATTTTCACATTAGTGTTGACATTTTCAGTGCAACACACACACACACACACGTCTAACATTGAATAAAAGGTAACCACATTGTGTATTGCAACATTCAGAATTAAAACATTTAAGAAAATGTAATTTTTAAAAATTAATTTATTTCTTTACACATGATGTTACAGTGCATAAGTTATTTACAACTGCAGTAATGTGTTGCAAAGTAAATTTTCTAGAAGGCAGCAAAAGTACATTGCGAATGTATATAAAACTGTACAGTGCTTACGGATGCACTTTTTATATGATTATTGGCTCTGTAGTCAAGTTATGGTCTCAGAAAGAGAAAAAAATGCCCAAGATTAAATGAAAAAATTGACAAACCACGTGGATTTGACTCCATTAAAAACACTACGGGGATCCTGGCTCTGTGTCCCTCTGCCTGGGCAGGTGGCACGGCCAACGACCTGCTCCGCGCCAGGTCCTAAGCCCAGTCTGAGGCCGCCGCAGCTCTGTGGCAACAGGACCATGGCTGGGACGGCGCTCCTGCCCCTCCGACCTGGAGGTCACTGTTTGTGAGAGGTGGACACCTTAATTTTATTTTCTTTAGTTCATCAGAATGGAACAAACATTTTAAAAAATGCACTCCGTTCTCCAACTCCTGAAATACCTCTGCAGTTGCTGGAGAAAAGGGCCCGAAGGTCACCGTTTTCAGATAGAAGCTGCCATACCTGCGCCCGGCAAGGTCTCCTTGTCCCGCCGGGGCCGGTGAGGCTCTGGGGGCTTTGCCCCCGCCGGGCAGCTGGTAGAGAAGAGACGTGTTTCACCTCCCTGATGGTCTGGACCAGTCTGGAAGAGATGGAGACGCTGTGGCCAAGTGCAGTCTCTCTCGGGGTCTCTCCCCGCCCGGGTGGACACGGCGCTCCCTCCTCTGTCCCTGGGGTTTAGCAGCCGCTCTGGGCAGCCATGCCGCCCTCGCCTGCGTCCTGCGGCCGTCCCGAGGTGTCACGCTGTCAACAACACAAAGTCGTAGTTGACGTCGACCATGAGCACTTAGCAGGAGGGCACGCACAGGGACTTGTGCCCGGCGGGGTCCAGCTCCTGCACCTTCAGCTGCCACTCCATCCTCTGCACAGCGTTCAGGGCCGCAGCCTCGTGCTGCTGCCGCATGAGGAGGAAGGTCTTCCTGCAGTCATACTTGTCATCCAGGTCCTGGAGCCAAGAGATGAACTGGCGGGCGTTGAACTGGTCGAGCACTGACTTGTTCTGGTCGCCCTGACTCTATTATTAAGGCAATATAGATTATTTTTATACATTAATTATTGTATTGCTTGCATTCGTTGGAATTCAACTTGATTAAATAATATATCTTTAATTTTACTTAGATTACAAAACAGTTTTAAGCTTTCCAACACCAGAGAAAAAAGAAAAAAAATCATCACAATTTCTTTCTATATTGAGAAGATCCAGCTAATACTTGGGAAATGTTTGTTCTATGTTCCAAGTATTGTTTTTAGAGCTTTTATTTATTGAATTCTTAGTTTGCAACCACTATTCTAGAAAACAGGACTATTCTTATCTCCATTTTTCAAATGGGAACCTAAGGCATAGGTCATAAAATTAATAAATGGATTACTCAGTGTCATCTTGATCAGCCAACCATCTTCATAACAAGATTTGTTTACAAGTCTTGGATTTTCTGCAAGAGCTTCATTAATTTCGGTTACTTCTGATAAAGGAGAATAGAGTTCACTAGCAGCTTTCACACTTTCCAAAGTAACCCTTCAGAACTAGATGAACTTATGAGTGAAGAAGCCTATGAGAAATACATAAAATCTATTGAGGAGTGAAAATGGAACTCCTAAATAAACTAGTATGAAATAACGCAACCCAGCAGAGTTGTCTTAAATTAATGGTGGACAGAAGACTTAGAATAGCAACTTTTAGCATTACCGATGGGGGGCGGCGGGGGGAAACTACTGTTAACATTGCTAATGAAAGAAAATGCCCTTTAACTTTCTAATGATTATAGATAAATATAATAACGCATCTTTTTCACAATATCCTATGATTTTTAGACTAGGCTATAGTGTTCAGAATTCATGAAATTATCCATGGTAAAAACTAGTTTATAAAAATTACATAATTCAAAGATAACGTTGTTATTCTTAAGCCTTATGTAATATTGTAACTTGCATGTATCCATACTGGATTTGGGATGAAATACTTAATGATCTTTCCACTGGAAATAACTGGAAGTTAAGAGGTTTTTGTTGCTTGTACAGTGTCAGATGAGGAACACCACCATCTTAATTTTGCAATACACTGCATTTGCTGGTGCTATTTTTATACAGTGAAGCAACAGCTTTGCAGCAAAATAATAAAATACTTCTTCCTTAAAAAAATTAATAAATGGAGCGGGATGAGACCAGACAGTATTATTCTAGACATGATTTTTTTTAACAAGTGCGCTTACATTATTGTATGTTAATATTTGAGAAATGTTTCTACTTTTTAAAAAAATAAATTCAAAGTGCTTTTAAATATAATATTATATTTATTTAAACTGATATTAAAATATTCTGTATATCATTATTCTTTTGCCTTTGGCAAAATATCAAAGTGTAAAAATCTATCTTTGATGATTCGCTTTATAAATATTCAAAGAAATTTTGGATCTTTCATGTTCAACTTAAACTTCTGATCCAAAATCTGTCTATATTCCTGGACTTGCCTGTGCCTATTTTCCTAC